>NC_000023.11:33941769-34092126 GCF_000001405.40 Homo sapiens | reverse complement strand
TGATATGATATAATTTCTTACTCTTTATTTTTTGTGTATCTGTTATAGATTTTTGTTTTTTGGTTATGTGAGGATTGCAAATAACATCTGATAACTAATTAATGTAAACTAAGAAAAAAGAGAGAAGAGCTAAGTAAATAAAAATAGAGATGAAAAAGTAGACATTACAACTAATAGCACAGAAATTTAAAATATTATTACAGAATATTATGAAAAACTATATGTCAATTGATCTGAAAACCTATATTAAAGTCATTTATCCATTTTGAATTAAGTTTTATATATTGTGTAACACAGGTGTAAAAATCTATTCCTTTGAATGTAGATATGCATTAGCCTCAGTATTGTTTATTTTAAAAATTATTTTTCCCGACTGAATCATCTTGGCATCCCTGTTAAAATTTATTGACTATAGATGTAGGCCTTTGTTCTAGATTCCCGGTTCTTTTCCATTTTTCTACATGTCTGTCTTTCTGCTACTGTCACACTACTTTGATTACTAGCTTTGAAATTAGTTTTGAAATTGGGAAGTTTGAGTCCTCCAAATTTGTCCTTCTTTTTTAAAGACTGTTTTGACATTTGGGACCCCGTGTAATTTTATATGAATTTGAGAACTGGCTTCTTTGTTTCTCCCAAAAGTCACTGTACTTTGAATAGGGATTATCTTGAATGTATTGATCATTTTGGGTAGTGTTCTAATCCGTGAACATAGAATATTTTTTCACTTACTTAAGTCTTCTTTAATTTTTTAATCAATGTTTTGTAGATTTCAATGTACAAATCCATCACCTGTTTGTCTAACCTTTTCTCTAGGTTCTTTATTGTTTTAGATGATATTGTAAATTATTTGATTTCTTAACTTACTTTTTGCATTATTCATTGCTAGTGTATAGAGACACAATTGACTTTTCTGGGTTGCTGTTGTAAGCTACAACTTTGCCAAAGTTGTGTATTAACTCAAGGCGTTTTCTCTCTTTTTTGATGGACTCTGCAATATTCCATAGATAGGATTATATATTCTGTTAATATGATATTACTTATACCTTTACAAATTAGATGTCTTTTGTTTCTTTTAATTTTTTTTCTATTTGCTTTGGAAATTATCTTCCATACAAAGTATGTTATGAAAGCAGGCATTTTTTTTGTTCTTATCTAAGAAGAAAAGCTTTGTGTTTTTCACCATTGACTATGAGGTGTACTATAGGTTTTTCATTAATGCCCTCTCCCAATATTTCAGATTGTATTTGTGCTGAGATGCTCCTTCAATGTTTAGCCAGGACATTTACAACATGGCTTTTCCCTTCACTTCCTACTTACACTGAACCTATAGGTTAATGAGAGTTGAAAGTATAGGGCATTCTCAGGTCTTTTCTGAGTATGTACCCTGCCTTGGGCAAATTATCTCCTATACATGAGCACTTTTGAATGCCTAATTTCTCAAATAAACATCCTGTCTTTTCCTCTCAGTCTTTAGTTGCTCTATTGTATGCTTCAACCATAATATTTTGCCCCAGGGTTGTTCATTTGCCTTACAATGTTTTTGAGGAATGTCCACCATTTTCTACTGTTGTATGAGTTCTGAGTTAGGCAAAACAAAGGCAAGCACCTTGTGTCAATCCTGAAGGTAGATTCCAGACAGGTTACAGCACACAAAATTATTTGTGAAAAAAATAGAAAGAATGAATAAGATCTAATATTTGATAGCACAACAGGGTAACTATACTAAGTTATAATTTAATTGTACATATTAAAATAACTAAAACAGTAAAATTGGATTGTGTGTAACATAAAGGATAAAGGCTTGAGAGGATTAATAACCCATTTGTCATGATGTGATTATTATGCATTGCATACCTAATATCTCATTGTACCCTATAAATATATATGCCTACTATGTACCCGCAAAAATTAAAAATTAAAAAAAAATTGTAAATAAGTTCTATTCTGCTCTTTCTAGAACCAGGAACCATAATCTCACACTGGGATTATGGACTGCTGTCTTCTATATCACTGCTGAGCCATGGACGGAGTTGGACACAGGGCAAATAAAATGCCACAAAGTTTTCTACCATTATTGAGTTGTCTATTGATTGATAATATGTTAACTTGGTGGCTTTAAACTTTTGACTGTTTTCCAGAAGTGGCATGGGCATGGAGAACTAGGAAAGCATACTTAGAATTGGTATGAATGTTAACTGCTTTTCCTTTGCTGAATTCGAGTGCCCTTGTGAGGACAATTAGTTTGGCTAGTTGAGCACTCATGCCTGAGGAGAGAGATGCACTCTCAACAATATCATTCAGAGTAACTATTGCACGCCCTGCTTTATGGATTCCTTGTTTTACAAAAGAACTTCTGTTTATAAAAAGAATCCAGTCTGGGTTCTCTAACGGGGTTTCCTTGAGGTCCTCTCTGGCCACCTAGGTTCATACTACTATCTGTTTCTAGTCATGTTCAAGCTCCTCAGCTTCCTCTGGGAGGAAGGTGGCTGGATTTAGGGAGGGACAGGTTCTGAATGGGACTGCAGATCCCTCTAATAGCAGAGGTTGATACCTGAGGAGGTCATCATCTGTTAGCTAGAGACTCCCCTTAGAAGACAGCAGTCCTGCCACATTATGCAGAGTGTTAACAGTTAAGTTAGTCTCCATGGTTAACTTAGTAGTCTCTGGTACCAACAAGGCTACCGCTGCAACTGCCCGGAGGCATACTGGCCATCCTTTGGCTACCAACTCAAGCTCTTTAGGTAGCCTACAGGCTACCTTTTATACTCTACATAATGTGGCTGGACTGCTGTTTTCTAAGGGGAGTCTGTGGCTAACAGACAACTGCCTCCTCAGGTATCAATGGCCTGGGTTCGAACTCCCAGGGCCATTTCCTTCCTTTCTGATGCATAAAGATTAAATCTCTTCCCTATGGGGAAACTAAGGGCTGGTGCCTTAAGCAAGCCTTGTTTTAGTTGGTCCAAGGCCTTCTAGCCTCCAGTTCCCAAATTATCCAGTGAGTTTTAGCTGCCTGAGTCTCCTTTATTAGGTGATACGAGGGATGAGCTATTTCACTGTACCCAGCTATGCATAGTCTGCAGAATCCTGTAATGCCTAAGAATCCCCTCAGTTGCTTGAGAGTTTGGGGGAAGGGGAAAGAGGAGATGGGCTTAATCCTTTCTTTGCCCAATGCCCTGGTCCCCTCTGACAATACCAGGCCGAGGTGCTTCACTGAAGTCTTACAGAGTTGAGCTTTAGATTTTGAAACCTTACATCCTCTGTTAGCCAGAAAACTAAGAGTCTTACTGCCCTCCTGAGAGATTTCTTCAGTTGGAGCACTGAGGAGAATGTCATCTACATTTGTAAAACTTTAACCTCAGGATAAAGAAACTCGGAGAAGTCACTTGAAAATTCCTGCCCGAACAAGTGGGGGCTGTCTTGGAATCCCTGAGGTAACAACATCCAGGTTAACTGGGTGGTTTGGTTAGAGGGAACCTCAAATGCAAACAAATACTAGGAATAGGGGTATAGTGGTATGCAGAAGAAGGCATCCTTTAGGTCCAGGACTGTGAACCATTTAGTTCCCTCAGGTATCTGAGTTAGTAGGGTATATGGATTGGGAACCACCGGGTGAATTGGAACCACAGCCTCATTAATGAGGCAGAGGTCCTGAACTATTCTCCATTCCCAGTTGGGTTTTCGGACTCCCAGTATTGGGGTATTACAAGGGCTGTGGCAGGGTTTGAGGCCTTGCAACCTTAATTTATCAATGACAGCTTGTAGTCCTTTCCTAACTTCTGGTTTCAGAGGATATTGTTTCTGGTTAGAAAAGGAAGTGGAATCCTTAAGGTGGATCTGAACTGGTATGGAAGTTCTTGCTCAGCCAATTTTTCCTTGAATTGAACAAACTTCTGTTAATACCAGTCTCCACTAAAGGGAGACAAAGAGTTTGTCCTGGAGCCATCAGGGTGGTGGTCCTTATATGGGCCAGAATAACCCTGCCCAACAGAGGAGTTGGGCTTTCAGGCATAATTAGAAAGGCATGGGCGAACAAGAGATCTCCCCAACTACAACTAAAGGGTTGGGAAAAATATCAGGTTAAAGGCCTTCCTGAGATGCCCCTCTTGGTCATGCTAAGAGAGGAGAGGGAGCCTGGATTGGAAAGGAGAACTGAGAGACCAGCCCCAGTGTCCAGAAGGAGGTCCACTTTTCTTCCTTTGATTTCCAGAATTTCCCGTGCTCCTGGATGGTAATGGCTGCCTGTGATTGGCTGAAGCTTTCCTGTTTGTTATTGGCTAAAACCTGGCTATTTGGTACACAAAAATAATACACTTTTAAGTTAGGTTTTAGTTTGTTATGTAGAAACTCAAATTATGGAGACAGCTCAAGCTAATGGCCTCCTGCTTATTTAATTTATTACTACGTAGAGACAGACAGCATCTCTCTTACTTATTTCACACTCCTGTTTTAGACTACTCATATTTTACCCAAGTGCTACTCTTTCTTCTGTGAACTCTAAGAAAGGGACAACTCACGACAACACCCTGGAATTCCCCTACCACTTCTAATTTTATTTTATCATTTGAAATGTAGTCTACATCACAGAATACAACAAAAGAAAAATTGACCATGTGTTATGCTTTATATAAAAAGGGTAACAAATTCCCCAGCCTGAGATAATTGAGTCAGTGCTTGCCCCCAGTTTTCCTCTCTTACTCATCAAAAATCTACATTTTAAGAATTATAGCTTGTACCACCTAATTTTCTGTAGTCAAAGTGTTTATTAAGTATAAAATGTTTGGCTAAAAAAGAGAAGTGCCACTAGTACATGTCATAGAACATTGGTCTTTTCTCAGAATACCCAAGATTTTCCCTGACTTCTCATTGGCTAGCACTTTGTCATAAGCCAATATATAAAATAGCCACCAGCAAAGAAGTTGAGATTAGCATATTTTATTTAGGCCAATCATAATTCATACTCTGTGGGCTGAAGGTATTTTCTCCCCTCCCTGGGCATAAAGCTGATGGAATATGCTTTAGATTCTATAAATTATGTAGAAGGAGGGAATGACTTAGTTGAGCAATCAACTCTGTCCATCAGTCATATATTTCCTTTGTTTGTATTATATCACATTCTCCTCCTGAGCTTTCTCACATTTATCTAAGTGCTTATAGTCAGTCATTTTGTGATACTCTCTTCTATCTAACTCTTAAACGTTGATGTTTTTTAGAACTCTGGCTTTTGTTCTCTTTTCATGCCCCTACTCCACAGACTCCTCTATAACATTCTCACCTAGTCTCATGACTTCAATTATTTCACAAGTGAGATGAATGCCAAAGACATACATCCATAGAATATCTCCTGCTAATTAGGACTGTATACTCAATTGAGGACTATTTTTAATTTGAATAACAGGCACCTCAAACTCACTATGATCAAAGCTGAATAATTATTTTCTTACAAACCTGTTTTGTATGCTGTCATTCTAATAGGAATTAACTAAAATGTCCAATCAAGAATCTCAGGTGTCATCTTAACTCTCTATCCTTCCTTAACCTTTGTATCTACACAATCACCAAGTCCAGATAATTCTGGTTTTGAAAACATGGGAGAAGATAAGGCTAACCAAATAATATATATGGAGTAAGAAATAGATCTAGTGATAAGTTTAATAAATATTTATATGTAAGTAATAGCCACGGAAAGGAACTATAACAGAATACAGACGTGACAGAAAAACTTATAAAGAGGAAATATAACCTTGTGAAAAGCAAGTGAAGAAGGATTTTCAAGAAGGTGGAAATAGTTAACAATTCCAGATGAGGCCAAAAAAGTTCATTAACATAATCACAGAAAAATATCCATTGCGTTTAGCACAGGAAGTTGAGACAGAGCCTGATTTTGCTTGGATAAAGAGTAAATCTAGAAATGGGATTTTGGGATATGGTGGCATAAATACATGTACTACTTAATCTGTTTCTGTTCTCAACTCCTTGGCTCAAGAGTCTCAACAACCAAAATTTGCTTATTGTTAACGTTTATAGGAAATTGTTGTTGCACCCGGGGTCATGAGTGCAGATTCACACCTATTCCAGAGGCCCAGAGTTTCAATGTACAAGGATCCATAGGCAGTGATACTTGCTACATGCAATCCTTGAATATATCATTTTATCATAAAAATATAGGTAGCCCCACAAAAATTTAATCCTAATGAATTAAATGACCCTAGTGAGAACAGTTAGAAGGTGACTGTCTTTCTCTTGTATTAGTAAACAAAAAAATAGATGGAATACCTAAAATAAAATGAAGAAAATAAAATTAACTATATCAGTTATCACAATAAAGTAGAATAGACGAATTCCTCCTATCAAATACCGAATTTGAGGTGAAAAAAACCTCTGGCAAATATCTAGCCCAAAAAAAAATCACTTTAGAAAGTTAACACAGATGTTGAAAAATGAAAGGGTGAAATATGATTTACTTGACATACAAGAACAAATGTCAATCACAAGAGGCAATATTCATATCATATAAGACAGAATTCATTTCACAAAAGGCAACATTCAAGGTGAGAACCAAAATCATTGATTAGAACTCTAGGATGTGCATTTCCTAATCCCTGTAATCTGTGAATATGTCATATCACACTGTAAAGGAGACTTTGCAAATGTGACTGAAGTTAAGGACTGGAGAAGGAGAGATTATCTTGGATTATCCAATAAGTTTCAACCTAATTATGAACCTTTAAAAGCAGAGAACCCCTCCTGGCTGTGGTCAAAAGATATGATGGCAAAAGGATTAGAGACCTGCAATGATACTCATTTTGAAGATGGAGGCAAGGGCCATGAGTGAATGAATTTGTGAGTGGCTTCTGGAAGTTGTAAAAGTCAGAGAAACTTATTTTCCCTTAGGGTATCCAGGAAGGAAAACATTTGATTGAAGTCCAGTGACACTTGTGTAAGATTTCTAATCTACAGAAATATAGTATAATAAATGTGCATCATTTTTAGCCCCTGAGTTTTTGGTAATTTGTGAAAGCATCAATAGAACACTAATGAACATTTCTATAATAATAAAATTAATAACCAATGGATAATTTAAAAACTCATATTTTTTATGCACCAAACAAAAAAGCAAGAAAATACATATAGCAAAACTCCTAGACAATACCAAAATACTAGAATCATCACAGTAAAATATTTTAGTATTTTAAGTCAAAAGACTAATATGATTCCTTGGGATTTAAATAATATTACATAATTTTTTTTTTTCTGAGAGAGAAAGAGAAAAAGGCAGAAGAAGAGAGTGAGAAGAGAGATTGTCTGTAAGAATGAAAGTTTTTAACCTCTAATGGAGTATCCATTTGTATAGAACTCGCAACAAAACATTAAAGCATTCTACCTAAAGAGACATTTTTATAAGCCATATTTTCAGACCACAAAATATCAAATGTCAAAACAAAAGCAAAGCATCAAAAAATGTCATTATCCCCTGAAAACAATTATCTATTCATCTAAATAGCACACAGATCAAAGAGCAAATATATAAACTTTGAAACAAAATGATGTAATATAAAAATCTACTGTGTTAAAATGGAATTCTGTTTGGGTTTTCTAAGAGTGCATATTTTAACTATGTAACATTACCAGTTCGTGTGTGATTGATTGTGTCCTTTCAGGGTGATTGCTATTCTCATTTTATTGAATAGTCTTTGCTTCTTTTGAATGAGTATTAATTTTTTTTATTTCTAATAACTTATTTGTAAATTTTTCTAATTACATAAAACACTCTTTAGAAGTTATAGTTTAAAAGTTATTACCTCAAGAAAGATAATTACACTTTTTGCAAAATCCAAATCTATAACAAATGTTCAAATAAAAAGCAGATATATTTTAGTAAATTTCTCATGATTTAGAAATTATTTTTTACCAAAAGCTGGTTAATTATTAATTGCAAAAAGGACCCTAATATTTTTAACCTTATACTTCACAGAGACTGAAATTGTAATAAAACAGCCCCTTCTCCCATTTCCCAAATATCCAATGTCTGTTGGAAGGTATGTAATAATCTACACAATAGGTTAGTAGTGATTTTGTAGAATATCCTTAATTCACTCACAAAACACATTGTATGGAATATAATGCAAGTGTCAAAACAGGCTCACTTCCTCTATGGGCTTTAAAGAGATTTACACACTGCATAAAAAAATTATTGTCTAAACAGAAAAAAAATCATCAATTAGAGGTTTGAAATCATTGACAATTATACTATTTTCAGTAAAGAAACTAAGAACAGTAGCCTTAACACTTCTTAGACATCTGAATATCTTAAAATCTACATGCTTGGCCTTAATTTTAGACTTCCAAACATGGTTTTCTTATTATTATAAGAAAGAATAAAATAATTGGCGAGCTATATCTTACCATCTCTAGAAAGCTGAAGGTAGTGTTTTATGGTATTCTCCAGTAGGAACTCATTATCTTTTAAGATTTAAACATCATTTTAATATAAAGTGTATTACATATATAGCCTATAAATAGTATATCGAATTATTGACTTAATTCTTTACATTTAACAATTTATTTTAAAGAAAACTGCAAATATAAATACGGGCACATTCTTGCTCAGCTATGTGTCATTTTGCCCAGGCAATACAAGCTGGAAATCTTGGAGTCATTGTTGATTTATTTAATTTGTTCCATATATAGACATTGCTAAATATTGAAAGAATCTGTTCTTGAAGTTCCTCTTAATAATGTCTCTTCCTTTCTTTTTCCCTCGTCATTGCTGTCGTTCTGACCTGTATTTGCCCATATCTGGATTACTGTATCAGATTATTAGCTGAGCATTTCATATTGGTCTTCATTACCTTAAGGTCATCCCACATAGCCCCTGATTAATTGTCTTTACAACATAAAAATAACTTCAATACAAATGCTTCTCATGGAAGATAATTCCAGTAACATTCAAAAATATAAATTATTGGGTATCTTCATTTTACTTCCAAGTCTTAAGGGGCTCAGTACCTTTTCTCAGGCATCAGGGGCAGGCATTATTTCCAATCCACTGGAATATACAGGACTGTATCATCAAAGGCTTATACATAATGGTGCATTTGAATTCCTAGGCTAATGTGACCTTTCACATTTTCTGGTCAAGTTCCTAGAGATCTTTTTTTTCAATTGTATATTTATATATATATATGTCCTGCTACAGTCATAATTGCTTAATTTTTAGTTAAGTTATATATGTGTGGATGTGTCTGTATATACATATATCTATTTAAGCTTTTCACATATATGTGCTGCTAGAGCTATAATTACTTAATTACACTTGGATACAAAATACATAAACACACTCACCAGTTATAAACATGGAAATTTGGAAATTGTTCAAGAAACAGTTTATGGCTGTTTGGTATTAAGCATGGTGGCTGGGGTTCCTGCAGCCATCTTGTGATCATGAGTTTCACTTCTATGTAAAAAAGGGCAAAGGTAGAAAGATAGAAAAAGTCTAAGTCCTTGATGTCGTTTTGGAAAACAAGGGTAACCCTGGACTGACCACACTAGGCTTCTTTTCTGTGTTTAAGACATCACATTTGGGTTTCTGATAGAAGTCCTACTTCTCAAACAGCACAATCTACATTGTGTAAAATTAGAAACAGTCATTAACAGGCACATGATTTAGCATTAAGTCACATCTGCATAATATATTTTGGTTAAAAGATCTAGGAAAATTATTTTGCATGGGGTAATTGTCTCCCCATTCTTGAGTGTGACCCATACTCTGATCTCCCACCTAATCCACTGTTTCTATGCATCCTTTACAATAAGAATGGTGATGTATGTAGATACATACAAATATATTATACATATGGTATCTACACTATTATTAAAGTTATGCCAAATATCTATGTACATAGAAAAATACTGAGCACATATGTGCATAAAATGAAAATGGTTGTGTTTAGGTAGTGGGAACATGATTGATTTTCTTTTTTTACTACTTTTTAATTTTCCAAAATTGTCTTTACTATCGTTGCCTTCAAATTAAGCATTGAAAGATTTTTATAAAGAAGCAATTGATGGTTTCGACTCCTGGATTGTTTGACTGGGAAGATATAGTGGAAATCAGGAATTTTTTTTAAGCTGTATAATTATTTTAAGTTACTTTTATTTTTTGTTTTAAGACAGGGCCTTACTCTGTCACCCAGGCTGGACTGCAGTGGCATGATCTTGGCTCACTGCAGCCTCAACCTACCAGGCCCAGGTGTTACTCTCACCTTAGCCTCTCAGAGTAGCTGGGACTATAGGCTTGCACCACCATATGTGACTATTTTTTTTTTTTTTTTTGTATTTTTTGTAGAGACAAGGTTTCACCATGTTGCCCAGGCTGATCTTTAACTCCTGGACGCAAGCAATCTACCCTTCTCGGCCTCCCAAAGTGCTGAGATTACGGATGTGAGCCACCACACCCAGGCTACTTTATGCTATTTAATACTTAAATTTTAATTAAATGATGTGGTTTGGCTGTGTGCCCAGCCAAATCTCAAATTGAATTGTATCTCGCAGAATTCCCATGTGTTGTGGGAGGGACCCAGGGGGTGGTAATTAAATCATGGGGGCCGGTCTTTCCTGTGCTATTCTCATGATAGTGAATAAGTCTCGTGAGATCTAATGGGTTTATCAGGGGTTTCTGCTTTTGATTCTTTCTCATTTTCTCTTTCCACTGCCATGTAAGAAGTGCCTTTCACCTCCTGCCATGATTCTGAGGTCTCCCCAGCCATGTGGAACTGTAAGTCCAATTAAACCTCTTTTTCATCCCATTCTCAGGTATGTCTTTATTAGCAGCGTGAAAAAGGACTAATACAGTAAATTGGTACCACTAGAGTGGGTCGTTGCTGAAAAGATACCCAAAAATGTGGAAGTGACTTTGGAACTGGGTAACAGACACAGGCTGGAACAGTTTGGAGGGCTCAGAAGAAGACAGGAACATGTGGAAAAGTTTAAAACCTCCTAGATATTTGTTGAATGGCTTTGACAAAAATGCTGATAGTGATATGAACATTAAGGTCCAGGCTGAGGTGGTCTCAGATGGAGATGAGGAACTTGTTTGGAACTGGAGCAAAGGTGACTCTTACTATGTTTTAGCAAAGAGACTGGCCGCATTTTGTCCCTGCCCTAGAGATTTGTGGAACTTCGAACTTGAGAGAGATGACTTAGGGTATCTGGTGGAAGAAATTTCTAAGCAGAAAAGCATTCAAGAGGTGACTTGGGTGCTGTTAAAAGCATTCTGTCTTAAAAGGGAAAGAGCATAAAAGTTCAGAAAATTTGCAGCCTAATGATGCAGTAGAAAAGAAAAACCCATTTTTTGAGGAGAAATTCAAGCCAGCTGCATAAATTTGCATAAGTAGCAAGGGGCCTAATGTTAATCCCCAAGACCATGGGGAAAATGTCTCCAGGTCACATCAGAGACCTTCACAGCAGCCCCTCCCATCACAGGCCCAGAGGCCCAGGAGGAAAAAGTAGTTTCATGGTCTGGGCCGGGGTCCCCGTGCTGTGTGCAACCTAGGGACTTGGTGCCCTGTGTCCCAGCTGCTCCAGCCATGTCTGAAAGGGGCCAACATAGAGCCAACAGAGAGCTTTAGAGAGTGAAAGCCCCAAGCCTTGGCAGCTTCCATGGGGTGTTGAGGCTGTGGGTGCAGAGAAGCCAATAATTGAGGTTTGGGAACCTCCACCTAGATTTCAGAAGATGTATGGAAATGCCTGGATGCCCAGGCCAAAGTTTGCTGCAGGGGCAGGGCCCTCATGGAGAACCTCTGCTAGGGCAGCGTGGAAGAGAAATGTGGGGTCAGAGCCCTGACCAAGAATTCCTACTGGGGCATTGCCTAGTGTAGCTGTGAGAAGAGGGCCACCGTCCTCCAGACACCAGAATGGTAGATCCACCAACAGCTTGCACGTGTGCCTGGAAAAGCTGCAGACACTCAGCACCAGCCAATAGAAAGCAGCTGGGAGGAAGGCTGTAGCCTGCAAAGCCACAGGGGTGGAACTGCCAAGACCATGGGAACCTACCTCTTGCATCAGAATGATCTGGATGTGAGACCTGGAGTCAAAGGAGATCATTTTGGAGCTTTCAAATTTGATTGCCCTGCTAGATTTCGGACTTGCATGATCTTTGTAACCCCTTTGTTTTGGCCAATTTCTCCCATTTGGAACAGCTGTATGTACCCAATACCTGTACCTCTATTGTATCTAGGAGATAACTAGCTTGCTTTTGATTTTACAGGTTCATAGGTGGAAGGGACTTATCTTGTCTCAGATGAGACTTTTGGACTGTGGAGTTTTGGGTTAAAGCTGCAATGAGCTAAGACTTTGGGGGACTGTGGGGAAGTAGTGATTGGTTTTGAAATGTGAGGACATGAGATTTGGAGGGGCCAACTTGAATTCCCAGAATCCCTACCTGCTGTGGGAGGGACCCAGGGGGAGGTAATTGAATCATGGGAGCTGGTCTTTCCCATGCTATTCTCGTGATAGTGAATAAGTCTCACAAGATCTGATGGGTTTATCAGGGGTTTCCACTTTTACTTCTTTCTCATTTTCTCTTGCTGCTGCCATGTAAGAAGTGCCTTTCAACTCCCGCCATGATTTTGAGGTCTCTCCAGCCATGTGGAGCTGTAAAGTCTCTACTAAAAATACAAAAAAATTAGCCGGGCATGGTAGCCGGTGCCTGTGTAGTCCCAGCTACTCAGGAGGCTGAGGCAGGAGAATGGCGTGAACCCAGGAGGCAGAGCTTGCAGTGAGCCGAGATCATGCCACTGCACTCCAGCCTGGGCGACAGAGTGAGACTCCGTCTCAAAAAAAAAAAAAAAAAAAGAAATTATAAATGTTTGGGGTGATGAATATGCTAATTACCCTGGTTTTATTATATCATTGTATATATGCATAAAATACATGCATATTTATATAACCTCATAAATTTAAAGAATAAAATAAATGTGAACAGGAAAAAAATGATGTGGGGACAGTTGGACATGTAAATGAAAAAAAAAGTTAATTTGAACGTGAACCTCACAACCTATGCAAAAATCAATACAAAGTAGACTGCAGACCTACACATAAGAGCTAATACTGTAAACTTTAGGATAAACCATGGTATACATTTCTTTCTGATCTTGAGCTAGGCAATTATTTCTTAGAAATGACACCAAAAGCAGAGCAGTAAAAGAAAAAAAAATAGACTTATTCAAAATTAAATGTTTGCATTTCAAAAAAGTACAATCAAGAAAATAACAAGATGCAATTTTCCCATGTAACAAACCTGCACATGTACCCACTGAACACAAAATAAATGTCGGGAAAGAAAAATAATTAAGTAAATAAATGAAACAAAATCATTTTCTCTGAAAAAATAAAAGAAAAAAGTTTCCATTGTTCTACACAATCACCAAAACAAAAGAAAATGAAAAGACATCTCTCAGAAAGGGAGAAATATTTGTAAATTATATATTCAATAGGGACATACATTGAATATACAAAGAACTCTAACAACTGAATAATAAAAAGATTCATATTTTTAATGGGTGAAGAACTTGAATAAGTATTTCAAAAAAGAGTATATCCAAATGGCCATTAAGGACATGAAAAGATGCTTGATATTATTAGCCACTAAGGAAAAGCAAATCAAGACCACATGAAATACCACTTACTACCCACTGTAATGGCTATAATAAAAAGGACATGATAGCAAGTGTTGGCAAGAGTGTCATGAAAATGTAACCTTCATATGTTGCTGAGGATGGTGTAAAATGGTGCAGTCACATTGGAAAATAGTTTGGCAGTTCCTCAAAAATTTAAACATAGAGTTACCACGTGACCCAGCAATTTCACTCCAAAATATTCATCACAGACAAATTAAAACATATGTTCACACAAAGATTTTTATGTGAGTGTTTAGCGCAGCAATATTCACTGTAGCCAAGAAGTGGAAGTAACTCAAATGTCCATGAGTTGATGAATGATGGTTACACAAAATGCAGTAGATCTATATAACAAAATGACAGTAAAGATAAGTGAAATATTGGTGTATAGTACATAAGTGAACCTCAAAACATTATGCTCGGTGAAATAATGTAGATTCAAAAGAACACATACTGTATAAATCTGTTTATATGAAATATCTTGAATAGTTAAAACTGTAGAGATAGGAAGTAGATTAGGGGCTACCTAAAGCTGGAGCAAGGGAAGAATAAGGATTGACAGTTGTTGGGCAAATCTAATATTAGACTGTTGTAATGGCTGCACAATTCTGTGACTATAGTTAAAATCATTGAAATGCATTAATTTTATGATACATAAATTAAAACTGTTTAAAATAGGTAAAAAATAATACGATGGCAATAACTATTATTAAAATATATTATGTTAGATGATAAGTGGGTAAAAGAAGACAATACAACCATTGGTATATATTATATATACACACAAACATAATGAAATAAGACATCAAAATTTGTAATAATTACAATCTTCATTCCTGCAACTGATCACATGATCATAGCTAAGAGTTATAACTACTTTTTTCTACTATCCAATCCATATTTGCATTGTGCTCAGCAAGCCCCTAAACTGGTAATGGCTCTTTGCCTACTGGGATTCCCTAAATCTTTATTCATGAAGGGTTTGGGTCATTAGTAGTCCTTCCTGATTTGGGTTGTTATTGCTTTCCATTGAGTATAATCAGATGGTATGGTAGTACTAGGAGATATCCTAAGAGATTCTGTATGTCCTGTCTTCCAGACTTACATTTCTTTACCTCAATTGTGTAACTGCAGTCCAACATTCTCTCACTAATCAGGACAAATCAACCCAGCCAGCAAGGTAACTTCATTGCCTGTTGACTCAGAGGCATAAGTGTAATGTAGTAGGGTGACAGTCTTAGCTTCCAGTTCAGCAGAATCATTCTTATGTCTCTTAGTGGAAACATGTCTCCCTTTGAAATTGAGACCTATAGACCAGCAGAACTTAAGGTTTCAGGGACAGGAAGTAACATTTATTGCTAGTGCATCATTAGGGACACTAATAATGAGTGGTGCCACTACCATTTTCCCCCCTTGATTTTGGGGCCTGTGAAATCTGGCCATGAATGAAACACCAACATATATTTAACATTGATTCAGGGCATATACAGACTCCTGGTGAATGCTGCCCCAGTGCTGCAAGGAATTTTGTCTACCTGATCCTGTAGCTGGGTTTTCAAAAGGCCATTCCACCATTCTGTCAAGCCACTTGTTTTGAGATTATGGAAAACACAGTAATACTAGTGAATCCTATGAGTATGTTCCCCATTGCTGCACTTCATTTGCTCTAAAGGGAGATTTTGATCAAAAGCAACGCTTTGAGGAACACCATAGTGATGGATAAGGCATTATCTGTATTCCACAGATAGTAGTTTGGGTATAAGCATTGTGTAGAAATAAAGCAAATCTATATCCAGTGTAAGTATCTGTCTCAATTTGGCCTGCTATAAGAAAAATACTTTAGGATGGGTAATTTATAAAAAACAGAATTTTATCACTCACAATTCTGTAGATTAGGAAGTCCAAGATCAAGAGGCCTGCAGATTGGATGTCTGATGAAGGCCTATTCTTCATTGGTGATGCCTTCTTGTTGTGTCCTCACATGGCTGAAAGGATGAACAAGATACCTTAATCTTCTTTCATAAGGGCACTAATCCATTCGTGAAGGCTCTCTCTCATGACCTAATCAACCCCTAAAAGGGCCCCCTCCTAAATCATTACCTTGGGGGACAGGCTTGAGCCTGTAACTTTTGGGGAGACACAAACATTCAGACCATAGCAACATCTCTTCTAATAAGAAGAAAGTGCCTTCCCTTCCACGATGGAAGTGATCCATTGTAATTAGCCTGCCACAAGGTAGCTAGTGACCAACCCCAGAAAATGGTACCATATCATAGACCCATTGCTGGTACCTACAGTTGGTTTATTGCCTGCTCAGCAGTGGCTATAGCAAGTTTGGCCTTGGTTAGCGGAAATCCTTATTTCTAAGCTCATAGATAACCTCTATTCCTGCCAAACATGGCCACTTTGTTCATGAGGCCATGGGAGAATGACACAGGAGGTGGGATAAAGAGGCTGACTGGGATACACAGAGTAAGTAATCTTGTCCACTTAATTATTAAAAGCCATCTATGCTAAGGTTATCCTTTGGTGAACATTCACATGAAATGGACTTTTTAAAAACATTTTTCACCTGTTCAGAGAGGTCTGGATACATTCCTCTTCCCCAAATTTCTTAGTTCCCAATTTTTCAGTCATGCTCCTGCCAAGTCCCTGACCATCCAATAAAACCCTTGGCTACAGACCATGAATCAGTATGCAGTCACACATCTGGCCATTTCTCCTTCCATGAAACATAAAATGTTCCAAGCAAAATTTCCCCTCACTTTTTTTTTCTTCCCTGTCCTTCGGGAATGTCTTAGAGAGGGGCTGTAGTGCTGCAGCTGTCCACTTTCAGGTGATGCCTACTGTATTATGCAGAGCCATCTGTATACCAGGCTCAATTATTCTCTTCCTTTGTCACCTGATTGTAGAGAATTTACCATTAGGCCAGAGATGGAGATTGAGAGACAGAAGGCAGTGTAGCAAAAGGAAGACCATTAGCATATATGCAATTTCTTCATGTAAGTTACTTGTGCCTTCAGGACCTGCTCAGGCCCAATCTCATATATACCACTTCCATTTGCTTATGGAGTACTGCTGTATACACCCAACTTTACAGCTTGGTAGGTCAGACAACACTCAGTTCATGATGGGCAACTCAGGTCACATGGGAACTTGGTGGCCCATGGCTAGGTGTTCAGCCTCTACTAAGGCCAAAAACTGTTTCTCAGAAGAAAAGTAGCTATCCACAGAGGATGGCAAGGCTTTGCTTCAACTCACAGATGTCTGCAGTATGAGTTACCTATAGGACCTGCCAAAGGCTCTAGACAGCATCTCTACCTGTCACTGAAACTTCAAGCACCACTGGATCTGCTGAATCATATGGTCCAAGTGGCAGAGCAGCTTCCACAGCAGCTTGGAACCTGTTTCCAAACCTTCCCTTTTTCTGGGCTCCACTCAAAACTGCAACTTTTTTCATCATGCAATAAATGGGAGGTGGTAGCACAACCAAATGAAAAATGTGTTGCCCCCAAAATCCAAAGAAGCCCACTAGATGTTGGATCTCATTTTCCGGTGGTAGAACCAGACACAACCACTTAGAAATCTAGGATATATCAAAATTGTCACCACCACTAAGTACCTAGTAATTGAAGTGTAAGACCCATGAATTTTTGTTGGATGTATTTCCCACCATTTGACAAACAAATTCCCTATCAATAAGTCCATAGTAGCTGATAGTTCTTGCTTACTTGGTCCAATTAACATAATGTCATCAATTTAGTGAACCAGTCTGATGATGTCTTGTGGAAGGGAAAGGTAAGCAAGGTGGACTAAACTTTAACATAGATCCAGGGAGTTGATATACCCCTGCGTTAGGAGAGTGATGTATTGTTGGCTTGCCAAATGAAAGGAAACTGCTCTGGTGGGCTTTAGTAGCAAGTTTGGAGAAAAAAAGCATTTTTCAGGTTATTAGCTGTACACTAGATATCAGGTATGCGTTAATTTGCTCAAGCAACCAAACCGTATCTGGAACAGTAGCTGCAATTGGAGTCACCATCTGCCTATGTGTATGATAATCCACTGTCATTTTCCAAGATTCATCTGTTTTCTACATAGGCCAAATAGGTGAATTTAATGGGGTTGTTGTGGGAATCATCTCCCTTGCATCCTTCTAGTCCTGATTGGTGGCACTCATCTCTGCCAACTCTCCAGGAATGTGTTATTCCTTCTGACATACTGTTTTCCTCAGTAGAAGAAGTTCTAGTGGTTTCCACTTGGGCTTTCCTACCATAATACCCCTCACACCACAGTTCAGGAAACTTATATTTGTATTCTACCAGTTGCTGAGTATAACTACTCCAATTCTGTATTCTAGAAGTATGGAAATAACTACAGGATGTGGTTGGGGACCAACTAGACCCAGTGTGAAAAGGACCTGAGCTAAAATTCCATTACCTAACTTCTATGGGTCTTACTCTGATTGGCAGAACACAGTGACATTTTGAGTCTTGTAATTAGGGTCAGTTCAGTGTTCAGTAATCATCAAACATCTTATTATTTCTATTTCCTCTGTGTACAATCTCTCTGGTAAAATGCCATAGGTCCCTTTGGAGAAGGCTAGGAGACATAGTATAGGTTTAAATTTTTGGCAGCTTAGCAGGGTCTTTCCTCAAGGATACCCAGCTTCATCTTTAATCCAGGAGCTAAGCTGATGAGAAACTGAGGTTGACTGTACCAGAAAAATGTGGAATTAAAGAACTTTAAAAATTCTGCTCCTGTTGCTGACACTCATTGCCTTGGGAAAATTTTAACATGTTTCTTTGGCTGAGAAATGGCTCACATCAGTGGGGCCACTAGTGCTGCTGTCTGAGGTATAACATGGGCAATGAAAAAGACCTGCTGAGATAAGAAATTTACGAGCACAGGTAAAGGGGTTCCAGGGATGTTTTTTATCTCACCACTTTCCTAAAAACCAGGGAGTGTGCCTATTTCCAATGTCGATTCCTCTGAAGGCTGTAAAGGTGAATGTAATGACTATGTCTGTTTCCTGGGGGAGTGGTAGCCAAAAAAATTAATCAGAAGTGCCTTGATGGGAATTAAGCTCCTGACTATGATAAAGTATCTTGTGAAAAACCAATGTTACTGCTATAAAATTTAAAGAGCCAGATTAAGGAAAAAAATCTATCCAAACATATATGCCTTTAAAGGCATTCCATCAGATTAAAATTGAACCCCACAGAATTTAAGTAGTCAAATTTCTCAAAAGAAGTGAACTGCAAACAAGTGAGCAAATATTCTATGAGTTGAATTTTCCTAGGAACATTTGCCAATTCTTGGCATGGAGCAAGATGCTGCAAATCTAGTAAAATGCTACTGCTTAGAGGCAGAAAAGCCAACAGAGCTTTTTAGAAAACTCACAAAGCAGAAGGTACAAAAATTGAAGTATGTGGCTGCCAAGACAGACAGGACTTGAAAGACCAACATGAGAAAAAAGGGGCAGAGTGTGAAGTCAAGTTTCACTTGAAGGCATTTGCTAAATTATTAAACTGTTTCAGGGTAAAAAGCAGAAAAACTAAATTGAAAGCTTCTAAAAGACAAGTAGTAAAGGTTTCAACAATCTCTTTATTCTGAGGTGACACAACTGATGTCCAAAACACACCACGGAAAAAAGGATCTTAGTAAATGTCCTAATCTTTCATTTGGAAGTGGGAGGATGAATTTTGAAGAGCAGATAAGAACCAAAAGTAAAATGAACCTATAAGGCTTAGTTGGCTGAGTCCCTATTTGATTTAAGATCAACCGACCCTTAGTTTACCAAGGTATATGGAGTAAACGAACTCTAGAAAAAAATACCATTACTTAGAAACTTAACAGACTCAAAACAATGTCTTGGATTTAACAGAAACTTTACAAGTATAACAAAAGACCAAAAGAAAAATATGATCGACAATAGAAACAAACCAAGAGATGTCGCAGTTATTGACACTATCTTGCCAGTATTCAGACTGAAACACAGAGAGCAAACAGAAGTACAAAAAAAGACAACTACAAAAAAAGAGCATGAGAAACATATGGGGCACAGTGAAAATGACCAGTATAATGCAAATGAGAGCCATGAAGGAGAGAGGAGAGAAAAGTGCAGGGCAATATTGCAAAAGATAATGGCTAAGATTTTTTCCAAAACTGATTAATGATATCAAAACCCAAGTTCAAGAAATTCTACACTCCAAGTAGGGCAAACACAAAGAAAGCCACATCTAGGCATATTATAATAGAACTACTGAAAGTCAAAGTGAAAGAGAACAATCAGAAAAAATAAAAACATTGACTGCAAAGAGAGCTTTTTTTTCAACAAAACAAAAAAATAGAAGGAACAAAAATAATATCAGGAATGAAAAGGGGGTATAAATAAAGATTCTACAGATTTTAAAGATGAAATAAGAACATTTATAGACAACTTTATGTCAATAAAAAGAAAAACTATACTATTTCCTTGTATAAGGAAATAGTCCCAGAAACATAACTTGTTAAGACTGGCACAATAAAAAATACAAAATCAGAACAGCTTCATTCATATCTATTACATAATTTAAAACTGTAAATAAAGACTTTTGTACAAAGAAAACTCTAGGTCAAATGGCTTTGCTGGTTAATTCTCTCAAACATTTATGTAAGAACTAATATCAAACATTATTCATACCCATCCAGGTAATCAAAAGGTGGTAGAGGTGCATATCATCAAATCATTTTATGAGGTCTACATAACCCAAATAACAAACCCTCACAAAGGCACTGAAAGAAAATAAATCAACAGATACATTTCTCGCATGAATACATATGCTAAGTTCTAAATAAATCTCAACAAGTTAAAAATCAATCAATACAATTCACATTAAAAGAGAAATAGAAGGAATATCACATGATTAGCATAATGGATTCAGAAAAAAAAGCATTTAATGGAATTCAATATGAATTAATGATATCCATTCATGATAAAATCTATTGGCAAACGAAGAACAAAACAATTTTTTTTGACAAAACAATTTTTTTATTTTGAAAAAAGTTACTTGGGAAAACTAAAGCATATATCATATGTAATGAAATTAAGCTGAATTGTTTTCCTTGAAGAACAAAAACAAGAAGATATATTTTATATTTATTTCTATTCAGCATAGTTCTGGCAGTCTGATTAGGTATATTTAGAATGAAAATTTTAGCAATTAGAAAGGAAGAAACAAAATACTCATTAACTGAAGATGGCATAATTGTGAATGCATAAAATTCAAAATAGTGTACAAATATTTGAAATTAATTAGTGAACTTAGAAAGTTCACTGACACAATGTCAATATATAGTATTTAATTATATTTCTACATAGCAGCAACAGACAAATGAAAAAGGAATGCTAAAAAGGATATCGAGTGTAGCATAAACCACACCAATATATATTTATAAATTAAAAATAGTATGTGCAATGTCTATAAGACGAAAAATATAAAACACTATTTCAAATAATTGAGGAAGACCTAAGTAAGTGGAGGAATAGTCCAGGTTCAAGAATTAGAAGACGTATTATGGTAAGATGTAATTATCCCTAAATGTTCATCTGTAAATTCAATACCAGTCAAAATTATAGCAACTTGTTAAGTGAATGTGTGCACATATGTGTAAATTAAGAAGTATGTTATATATATGTATATTGACATGTATATATCTCAATGCAAAGGGCAAAAGTAGCTAAGACAATTTTAAAAATAAAAGTAAAGCTGGCACACTAACACTGTCAAATATCAAGATTTATTACACAGCTACAGTGATTAAAACAGTGTGTTATTTATATAAAGATAGAAAAACAGAACAGTGCAATATAATAGAAAATCCAGGAACAGATCTTTTTATATGTGGTTGCTTGAATTTTGACAAAGTTTACATTCTAAAATAGTTGAAAGAAGATGCTAACTTCAAAAGCTGCAATGACCTCTCCCATCATAAACTTGGTGTGCCCATTTCTTACTTTCATTTAAATGGAAGAATATATATGTATTATTTTGTGTCTAGCTTATTTGCCTTTCATTAGCCTTTCTACCTGGAAATTTTATACTCTCCTCTAATTAGACCAAATTGAATTAACAAAAATTAATTTCTCGTTTTTGGCATCTCCCTAGGGAATATTCCTTTATCTGTTTATGAAGCATTTATCTGATATCTTAAGGGGAACATTAACTCAAAAGCAAAACATCCAACATCATTTATATTTATTTTGAAGGAAAATCCAAAGTTAACAGCATACAACATCAATAGCAGAATTATTCCAACTAACAGTTAAGTAATTAAAAATAAACAGATAATGCTAGATTTAGATGATAATATATTAGTAATATACACATAAAAATATTTTTAGAAATTATAAAAATCAGGTAAGAAAATTATAATCATTAAAAGCAATAACCAAATAGATTAGATCACGTGTAGTGTAAAAAAAAACAGATGGAAAATGTAGTACAATGGAAGATCTGAATGAAGAATTTTTCCAAAAGTACCAAGAAATCATGCAAAAATAGAAGCTAGACTAAAAGAGAAAAAGAGGAATTTGAATAGCATTATCAATATTCAGATACTTATAGTCTTCAATAGAGCAGAAAATAATAACAGACAGAAGGATAATTTTTAAGTAATGGTCAAAATAAAACTCTTAGAAATAAAGAAAGATGAAATAACTCATGTCATGGATTGTTAAACAGAAAAGATATAAAATTAAAAATTATTAAAAGTTCAAAACTTTCAGACAGAAAAATACAAAATAAGAATGAGCCTTCTCAACACTATGTGAGATTCTAGCAGACAACAGAACAATATTTTTTTAACTGAAGGAAAATATTTTGTAACCAGAATTTTATATCCAACTAAACTGTCATTCAAATGCGAAAGTCAGGTATTGTAAGAGATGCTTCAGAAAGTTTTCTTAAAAAGACCCCAAATGTGTTGAAAACACCATTTTTTGAAATAATGAAATAGAGTTGTAAACACATTTAGAGGAGTTGCTTAGATAGGAGGATAAATAAATCTCAAAGTTGCAGCAAAAGATGCTAAATATAAGAGTTATACAATACATTGGTAAGGGCTTTGTTTTGTTTTTTTTAAAATCTAACACTGTTGAAAGCATTTATCCTCAACAATGAGGAACTATAATCATGGACAATATCCAAATTATAGGAGTAGACATGATGAAGAATGAAGAAACAGGAAGTTTAGGAAAACATTTGTGATTTTTGTAGGAAAATGTGAATTTTGTGGGTTTAAACTATCCATAGGGCTAATTATACATGAGATTGGTCTTAAGAAAGCAGCAAAGAGAAATACAACGTTTTACTTTCAAACTGGCAATGAAACATCTTACGTCTAGTTGAGATCGAGATATGAAAAAAACAAACAAACCAAAGAATGACACATGCCACTTATCACATTTCATCGGCCAAACAAGGTCCCCTAGTCAAGTCTGATATTAATGGAGAAGGGAAGTATACTCCTCCTACAGCAAAGGGCAGCAAATGCTTTGAACAATAATGCAATACATGATAACCAGTAAAAAACAGAATGAGATATATTATACAATAACAGTTTTGTATATTAAAACTACTTACACATAAAATATAAAGCACGTTTTTCAGGAAAACAAACAAAAGTGTATGTAACACATTATAAGTATTTCCTATGAATGGGAAAGAAGGTTGGAAATGGAAAATAAAAAAATTAAAATGGAGATAAAATTTTAAAACTGAAATTAAATAACATAAATTTCTCCAGAAAAACATTACTAAGGGAACATATTCCAGGAATTTGTTGCTTTGGCTATCAGGTAGATAAAGTCACCATGAAAATAGTTTGTCACTTTTTTCTCTAGAGAGATTATAAAGTATATTAAATAAAGAGGTCTGGGTGCGGTGGCTCATGCCTGTAATTCCAGCACTTTGGGAGGCCAAGGCAAACGAATCACCTGAGGTTGGGAGTTCGAGACCAGACAGACCAACATGGAGAAACCCCATCTCTACTAAAAATACAAAATTAGCCAGGCGTGGTGGCACATGCCTGTAATAGCTACTCGGGAGGCTAAGGCAGGAGAATCCCTTGAACCCAGGAGGTGGAGGTTGCAGTGAGCTGAAATTGCGTCATTGCACTGCAGCCTGGACAACAAGAATGAAACTCTGTCTCAAATAAATAAATAAAGAGAAATAATGCTGCTCCAAGGACAATTTCCCTTCAGAAGTAGAAACTGGAAACTACTAAATAGCTTGAGCTGAAGGAAGAAAGTAGATTATTTGTGGAAGATTTGTGGTCTTAGAAGCGGGCCTCAATAAACATGGGAATGCAGATATCTGAAATTCTAATCTCAATTCTTTGGATATATACCCAGAAGTAGTTTCACTGGATCATATGGTATTTCTATTTTAAAAAATTTCAGGGAATCTCCATACTATTTTTCATAGTGGCTAAACAATTTTACATTCCCACCGACAGTGTACAAGGGTTCCATTTTTTCCACATCTTTGCCAACAGCTATCTTTTTCATATATATAATAGCCAGCCTAAGAGGTCTGAGGTGATATTTCACTGTGATTTTGATTTTCATTTTCCTGATGATTAATGATGTTGAGTGTCTTGTCATATACTTGTTGGCCATTTGTATGTCTTCTTTGAAGAAATATCTGTTCCAGTAATTTGCCCAATAACCAAGATATGGAAACAACCTAAATACCCATCAATAGATAAATCAAATGTGATACATACATACAATGGAATAATATTCAGTCTTAAAAAAGGAATGAAATCCTGCCATATGTGACAATATGAATGGACCTGGAAAACATTATACTGAGTAAAATGAAGCAGTTACAGAAAGACAAGACTGCATGATTCTACTTACATGAGGCATCTAAAATAGTCAAATTCATGGAAACAGAGAGTAGAATGGTGGTTTCCAGGCAGAAATGGGAAGTTGTTCCTCAATGAGTATAAAGTTTCAGTTATACAAGATGAGTAAGTTATAGAGATCTACTGTATGACATTGTGCCTATAGTTAACAATACTCTATTGTACACTTAAAAGTTTTAAAGGAGGATAGATTTCATGTTAAGTGTCCTTACCACAATAATGAAAAAGAGAACAAAGCCTCTACATATAGGAAAGGGGAAATGAATACAGTATATCCTTGGCACAAGAGAAAAGTATTATTATGTTAGAGACGTTTGGTGAGGAGCTAGTATATTTAACCAAGAACAGAGAAATGCTCTAGATTTATAAATAAGTGCAATTACTGAAATTTACTAATAGGAGACAAACTAGAACATAAAACGAACACCCCCATTTTCCTTGATGACTATAAAATGGAATTAAAGAAATTATGAATATACTTGAAGGTAAGACAAGGAAATTCAGTACAAGATGCTTCAGGCATTAATTGAAAGTTTGAAAGTGTTGGAGCAATTTCAGATGATAGTAGTCCATGCTATGAGGAAAATGCTAGGGAAGTAATAACTCTAAGGTTGGTCACAGAGAAGATAAGGTTTATTAAAGTGTTAATGGGCAATATCATAATTAATTAACTCACTATGTGTTTGGAGATTGGAGTAAGAATGGTATAAGACATTGTGGATGCAATTACTCTACTGAGCCAGTTGACTGTTGGAAGACAAATGATCTGTGGGATACCTTTAGCAAACCCAACATTTATGTCTCTGTATTTCTCAGTACGAGAAATCCCACAAAGCAAAGTGTAGAGGAATACTAGAACAGCAAAATAAGCAGAGCGTGGGGGAATGTTGAGGGAATTACCAGGCTTTGAACAAGAAACAACTGGATTTCCCATCTGACACAAAGCAGAAATCTCATCTAGAACTCAGTATTCACAGATTCAAAGAAGTCTAAGGTAGAAAATAGAATCATCATCTACCCTGTCGTCATTGGCACCCTGGAATGCATAAGCCACACCTCTGATCAATTGTGAGTTTTATTGTGAAGTAAATTGAATTAGCAGAAGAAGCAAAAAGTAGGTACATATCTATAGGCAGTAGGATCTTAAGATTTAACTCCTCCTGACCCAGGGTTCTTTGTCTTTGGGTTTAGGCTCTAAGATAAGCCAAAAAAGAATAGCAGATTCTTTTCCTTGCCATTTATTTTGTTTTTCTGGGGAACATTGGAGGAGGAGTGCTGAGTGTGTAACATGGTGTAACGACATCAATAAATCACCAAGATTTTATTTAACAGAAAGCAACGAAGGACACCTTTTTAAGCACTTTTAGACTCTATATAGTTAAATCGTCTATTTCTGTTCTTTTCCAAAATCAAATTTTAAACACATTTGGCCTATCGAATATATTTAACATTGTGGTCAGTTACTGGAATATCAACAAAGGACATATTTTCTTTTTATCCACTCCTGTTGACTTTAAAGATATTGTTTCTCTAGGCACTAACAAATTCGTAACTGTGTATTTTCTTTCCAGTCTGAGTTATAAGAGATTATACTGAACATAAATCAAATTTGTGCTGCACCTTATGTGAGAAATTTCAGCTCTCTCCTCAGTCATGAGGTTAAAAATTACATCTCAAAATAAAGCATTTGGCAAAATTTATCTATCTTTTAGGCCTTTCAATTCAAGGAAAAGTGGCAATAACCAATAAAATATTAACAAATGCAGAATTTGTAATTGTTTTTACCAGCTAGAAGATTAACACCCTGGATCTTTTACTGCAATTTTAAAATGTATTTTATTACATGAATCAAAACTTCCACTATGGGCCAATACAATAAAATAGATTGTGGCAAGATGTGTACTAACTCTGTACTATGTTTCAGGTCAAAAAAGAAAAAAAACTATTGTACCTGTAGTTAACAATACTCTATTGTACACTTAAAAGTTTTTTTAAAAAATATATTTCATGTTAAGCGTCCTTACCACAATAGTGAAAAAGAGAATGAAGCCTCTACAAATAGGAAAGGGAAAATGAATACAGTATATGTTTGGCACAAGAGAAAGGTATTATTATGTTAGAGCAGTTTGGTGAGGATCTAGTACATTTAACCAACAACAAGAGAAATGTTCTAGATGTATAAATAAGAGAAATTACTACAATTTACTAATAGGAAACAAACTAATACATAAAATGAACACCCCCATTTTCCTTGATGACTATAAAATAGAATTAAAGAAATTATGAACATATTTCCAGTTTGAATCTGGAAACCAAGAAGACCAAATAAGTGTATATCCCTCAAAAAGAAAAATACTCTATAAATTGTAAAAACTAGCAAAAGATTTACAAAGAAAACTATTTAGCACAAAGTAGATTCATCATACATTCACCCATGATGATAATACCATTTATTTAAAAACCTTCATGAGTAAGTTTTAAGATCAAGCAGAATCCTAGGCACAAGTCTATAGATACAAGAGAAAGACATGCAAATGAATACGTAATTTAGGTAAGTGCTATAATAGAAACGTATAAAGCACACAAAAATGTAGTAGAAATGGAGAAAACATTACAGTCCATAAAATTGTTTGATTTTGTTATATATAAGAGTTCATAAATTAGTTTACTGTTTTTTTTACAAAATAATATCTACTCATGGGAAACATATTTTCATATTTATAACAAAAATTCAGACAAAAGAGCAATACTGAAACCTTCATGGAAATATCGGTAAAAAAATTAAATGACATCTGTTTCATTGTTTTTAAAAAGTCAGCTGAATGGTCTAAATGTTAATGTGTATAGATATCAGAATAAATAAAATATTAAAATGAATATATAAACACAGAAATATAGAAAAATAACTGCAAATGATTGAATAGTACTAGGATTGTCTGTGCAACTGTAATTTTAAGCATGAACAAATGAAACCTCCCAGAATCAATGGTCTGATGCCATAATTATATTATGTATTAACAATGTTTCTGTACTGAAACCTGAAAACATATTAGAATTGTTTTATTGAAGGTAAGCAGTTATATTCTGCTTACACATATCCTCCTGTCTTTATATCAAGAAGTAAAATGTACAAAATACTGTCTTATTTTGGGGGTAAAAAAATAAGTTTAGAGGAAAATAACAGTATCTGAGTATATTAACTCATCAGATTTAGCCAGCCATCTTCTATGCATCACAGCAAGGACTCTAGAGGATTATAAATGTGTGCCTCTGGATAATGAAGACACTAATTAAAGATCTACAGGTTGTAACTCTATGTGCTCTTTTGTTCAATTTGTCATGTGAATTAAACGGTGTAGTCAAGGAGTGATGAGGGAAAATCACTTCAAATCAGCCTAGACAGCTCTATAAAATTCCTAACAGTGTCAAATTGTACAATTTTGTGTAATATGAGAAAGAAATTTCAAAATGGGAAATAAAATTGCTGATGCATCTTCATGAAGTTTACATTCCATTAAAAATTGGGAAGGAATATTGTTTCAAATGAATAAAACATCATTACAAACAGAAACTAGATTTACCCAATAGGAAACCCAAAAGAAAGGAACAAAACATAATGTGGTAATCGTACATTTTCAACTAATTACTTGGATCCTTTTATAAGATTTTCACAGCAGTCAAGGCAGTGGTATACAGAAAAATATTGCTCAACACTGAATTCATTAATTGACTCAGCAACAAATATTTATTTTTTAAGCCACAAATATGTGCCAGGGGCAATTAAAATAGAGGGTTACAGCAATGAAAAAATCAAGCACAAATTCATGAGGAGCTTGCATTTCTGTGAAGACAACATAGCAAATAAAACATGTAAGTAAAATATAGAATGTGCTACAGTGAACAAGAAAACAAGAAGAAATAGAAGAGGTATTAAATTTAGAATAGGGTGATCAGAGAAACCTTCTGGAGGTGATATTTCAGCAAAATCCGAAGGAAATGAGGAAACAAACCGTTTTATAACTAAGCAGAGCGAGTTCATGACAGAGAACACTAAAAGTATAGAAGCCTGGGGGTTAGAACATCCTGGTTTGACAGAATTCAGCAAGGAAACCAGTGTGGCTGGAAAAAAGGTATGTAAGGGAGAGAGTGATACAAAATGAGGTAAAAGACATATAGGCTGTAAACTGTGAAAGCCGTGTAAAATCCTTGTAAGGCCTTAGTCTTTTATTCTGAGTGAGATTAAAGCTACGAGTAGGCTTTTAAGCAGAGATTTCACTTGCTTTTAAGGTTTCAACAGGATAACTCCGTACTGAGAGTAAATTGTAGAAGAAGTAAAAGTAACTACTTAAATTACTTTTCCTCAATTTTTATGTGGTGTTATACAATATAAATATCATATAATATAGAATCTAGAATCCTTCTATCTGGTTACATAAAATTTGAATGTTAGATGAAATAGAACAGATCATCTTCTTAGGGTGTTCCATGCAATTTGAATAACAATGTAACTGGCTGTAGGCAACTGGTTGCTGGTACAAACTGATTTAAAAATATGGAAAATATATATCATCATAGATACTGGTTATATGATTTGAACATAAACACATATATACATACTCTTTGGAGGCAATATACATGGTCCAGAATGATGGTGGCTCAGTCCAGGAATGGCAACAGGATTTACTGACAGGCTGTAAACAGTCATAAGTAGGAGTCAAGGATGACTCCAAGATTTTAAGGCTAAATAACTTAATGTGAAGTTGCTATTAACGGATATGGAAGGACTGTGAAAGAATCAGTTTAGAAGGGGGAAGATCAAGACCTCTATTTTGTACTTGTTGATTTAAAAATGCCCATTATCCAAATGTAGATGTTGAAGAGTCAGTTGAATACATAAGACTGGTGTTCATGAGAAAGGTCCAAAGTCTAAGCTAGAGGTATACATCTGAGATCAGGGTACAACTATGATACTAGAAAAGGTCAAAGATAACGAAGGGTGGAGAGTGCTCAATAGGAGAAAAGTTTCCAAAAATATAATCCTCAGTTCTACTGCAGTTAAACAAGCACATTTGATTTGGGGAAATCCTGAAATATATCTCATTATAATAATTTCAGGCAACCACAAATACCTTACTCTAATTATTATATGTGTACATATGTGGAATCATATTGAATATTCCTTGAAGTAGTTATTTGATAATTACCTGAGGATTGGAACTATGTTCTCCTACATGGGAAGCATTATGTTCAATGGTGACTAAGAATATCATTTTAACAATGCCAGTGTCTTATAAACTGACAAAATTAGAAAACTGATTTTCCTAAAAAATATAAATCTGTGAAATCACTCTGGTTTGCCGTGCTGACGTTAGTTTTGCATTTGAAAGTCATATTATTTTCTTGTATTTCCTTTCAATGGTATATGAAAAAGGCCCATGTCAACATTTCAATAGAGGCAGAGAGAGTATCCTTCTGCTTTGGAAAAAGAGCCAGTTGAGTGGTTGAACTTAAGCCAGTTATTGCTATACTTTTACACTTAACATTGATTTGGATTGTCACCTCCCAAACACTAAAGCAGCTGGAGTTATGTTACTGGTGGTCAGGCTGAGGAAATGTGAGGTCATATGGATATAGTGATTCCAAAAGCCACATGCATTTCCCAAAAGTTCAAGTTTATTCATTATGGGATTGATGACACCCTAAATGAAAGTTGTGACATTTTCTTTACTTCTTTACTCAATTTATATCTGGCCTTCACTGATTAGCATGAAATGGAGGCATTAGAAATGTTATGCAGGTTTTCCTGATTTTTCCAGGCTTCAAGATTCATAGCACCATGGAATGCCCAAATTGTAGCTGAGTCCTCATGCCACTTGACTGGAATTCCAGGCTTTTCCCAAATTCTCTTTGCAGTATTTTTCTAGGTATCTCAAAAGTATTGCATGTTCCACAAAAACATCCTGATTTTGGATCGTCACTTTAGCTCATTTTTTGGACTCCTCTTTCTCTATTTTTCATATTACTTCTTTCCTTCATACTGGTTTTCCCTGGTCTGTTATGACACCTATCCTATAACTTTTCTCCATCCATGGACACAAGTCCATATTTTTATTTCTCAGAGCAGAGCTATAAAATGCAACAGTATCTAAAACCTTATTGAATGCTCGGGGATATCAACACCACCACCACTACCACAAACAATGGGGATAAGTTAAAACTATATATTTGGTGTGATTCCTTCTCAAATACATAGAGCAAGGGATTCCACACATTTCCTAAATACATCTCTTTAACATTAACTTTTGGTTTGACACAGCACTATAGAAATCATTTGCTTCTGCCATATGAAAGAGAAGTCTTCAGTTCAAACCTTAGACAAGAACGAAGGAAAAAATATCACTTATATTTCAAAATGGAAATATAATTGCAAGGCTTTAGAAAACCTCCCTTTGCAAATAATGAAGAAAAAATATATTGGGATTTTTTTTCTTAGATGTTGACATGAATTTGAATCATCAGAGCAGGCTTTTCTGTTTTTAAATTCAGATGTCTGATGTCAATTCCTGTCTAATGAATCAGAATGCCAGGTGCCAGTATTTTTGACAAATTTTCCACGTGATTCTCACTCATGCCAAATTTGAGAGCTATTACAAATTATTTTGCAGAAGAGCACACTCTATTGCCTGGATCCTCACTATTTCAGAATACAATATTTGCCTTACATTTGTATAAATCAAATATTTTCTCCCCAACAAAGAAGTCTTCAAGTCTTCTTCTCTAAGTAGGTGCACACCTCTGGCAGCTTTTAACTGGATGTTTTTCTACCCTAGAACTGACTTTTTCAGGTGCACATATTCCTGTGCCATAATGGACATCACTTTTAGGATTTGTGTAATGGATAGAAGGTCGTAGTTGATCAGACAGAAGGATTGATTCACCTAGTCTACTATTGAATATAACCCATTCTTCCTCACAAGCTGAAGTAAACTTGGATTCCTTATTTCCATGCAGCGGAGTTAAAGAAATTGCTGTTCTTCCTGAGGGACACTTTCTCCCATCGAACCCTTTCCCGTGTTAGAAGATACACTGTGTGATTATTCACATCTTTATGACTCTCCTTTCAGAGAATTCTTGAGGGTCCTTGGACTCTTGCTAATTCCACACTCTGGAGCTCTACCTAGATTTCTCCTCTTTTCCCTTCAGGAGCTTTCAAACATTTGAGAGAGAAGTTAGCTGTGTTGTCTCTCTATTGGCTCAGGGAATTACAGCAGTTTATTTCTCCTCTTCTTTTAATTCTTGTTTCAGTCTCCAGGTTTTGTTTCACTGAACTTGCAAGATGGTCATAAAGTAGAGTCTTCAACATAATTAGTAAGATTTGTCTGACAACTCAATGTCATGACATACAAAATAGCATTGCTGATTTACATTTACATTATATAAAGAAAATATTTATTAAAAGATTTAGCTTTATGTCTTTAACAAAATTATGGAATAGTTGAGGACTGGATGCAGTGGCTTACACCTGTAATCCCAACACTTTGGGAGGCTGACGCAGGAGGATTGCTTGAGTCCAGGGGTTTGAAACCAGCCTGGGCAACATAGTGAGACCTTGTCTCTACAAAAACATCAAAAATTAGCTGGTGGTGCTGCATGGTGGTGCATGCCTGTAGTCCCAGCTACTCAGGAGGCTAAGCCAGGAGAATTGCTTGAGCCTGGGAGGTTGAGGCTGCAACAAACTATGATCATGCCACTGCACTGAGCTTGGGCAACAGAGTAAGATCCCATCTCAAAAGAAAAAAAAAAAAGAATAGTTGAACTTCAATCTCTAAAAACATAGAAGAAATATAGTAGTTTTTAAATCAACATGTACTTTTGTCATTTCCCCCCAAATATTACTATCTGAAATACATATACAATTTATATAAACATATACATAAATATATATTAGATTAATTAAAATACACATTTTCCTTTATTGAAACTAGAGCAATTCTTTACATAGACAATTATTGTTTTGTGTTTGCTTTTGCTTTTTTTTTCTGTAAAATGTCCTACACCCTTATTTTCTCTGACATTTTAAATCATACTCATTTAACAAGGTCTAAGTCTAGCTCAAGCAGATTTTTCATTCCCCAAATTGAAAATGCTCTTTCCCTAACATATAGTTTACAACATTATTGGGAAATTTTAAACTAGATAACCCTTACTGGCATTACTTCTCAATTATAATTTGAAATATTCAATAAATACAAGAATTTCCATATTAGCAAGAGGTTTGACTCTAGTATAGACTCCAAAGACAAGAGTGTAAGAGTAATAATTTTCTTCCACAGTAATAAATTATAAACTAGAAAAATTATTAAATCTTTCATAATAATTCCACTGGACATGTATATCACTTTTGCTTGATCCTATCTACTCTCTATTTGTCTTAAGTGAACATTTATCTTCATGGTCTAACATCTATTTTAAATGTTCTGAAATTTGGTGGCTAATATCCATTTTGTTATTCTAGCCACAACTCTGATGATTTTCTAAATCAAATCATTCTCAGATTTTAGCGTTCTAGAGTTGCTTTTTGCCTTTTCTCATTAGAAAAATCTCTCCGTTCAATTTATAATTTTAGTCACCCTACCTCAACAGTGTCAAACTGTTGTGACTTACAAGATCACCAACTGTAATTATGCAAGTTGGGTCCTAAAAAAGTATCTGGAAGATATCATTTTATGAACAATCAAGTGATTGGTAACACACAAGTTACTCAACCCTAAATGTTGTCCTTGAGGTTTTTGAACTAGAACTATGTGCTGCCTTACTGTAGTGTGTGAATAAAACTATCGAGAGTTAAAATGTATCTGAGTTACCAGTCTTTCACAGACTAGGTCTCTAAATTCAGTATGTTAACCAATATCTCCAATAAATGTATTTCTAATTTGTAGGACGTTTTCCTTTTTCAGCTAAGAGCCAGGTCCTTGTCACATGGCCATGAGAGATTAGGCTCGCAGACACTTTGAATGGTGAAAAAAATGGAATTATTTGGGCAAAAAGGGCAAAAAGGAAAAACAGGAATGTTCCACTAAGCCACAGTCCTGTTAGCGTGCTTCCTGCCTCACAGATTGAATCCCAGGTTAGACCCCGGAAGAGGAGGGGCCAGGCTCCTCCCCACTGCACACTTCTGTGGCTCCACCTGAGTGCACATTCCTCCCAGTGGGCAGGTCAGTCAGAGGTTCTGCCAGGGAGCCATTCCCACTTGACTGCCTCGTTCCCCCCTCTAAAGAAGTACATCTAACTCCTGTTAGAATAAGCATAGGAGTAAGGGTGAAGACTGATCTTAACTGCTTCCTACTGATAGGGGGTGCTGTTTTGAGGGAAAATGGCAATCAGATCTCCCTCAGAGGCCTATCTAAGGGTCCCTAGCAGAAAGGGCAATACTCCAAGGCTCCAGTTGCATGACTGTTTGAAGTTTGAGGGCATGAAGGCAAGAAGAGACAAACTGGGTTATTAGAAAACATTTATCAAAATGAAACAAGGGGAGGGGTAAGGAAAGCTCAAAAATCCCAAGGCCTTTTATGACTTTGCACAGGTAGAGGGAGGCCAAAAGCCCAACTCGTAATAAACTTTTCCGTTTTGCTGGTATGTTGGGTTTCTGAGTTACTTTACCCTGAGCCCAATCCTAAGCCAACCAGTTTAAAGTTTGGAAAATAAACTTTTGTCAGTTTGGAGGATGCATCTCAGGTGATTGTCCTGTAGTATGAAGACATAATTACCTATCAGTGAAGAGAGGACAGAGGAAGAGAAAGGAAAAAGAAGGCATTTTTTCAAAGGAGTCCCGGGAGTTCAGGATGCATTTGAAATGGGTACAGACTGAAGATGAATGGCTACCCATCTAGAAAGAGGGGAGCAGGCATCCCTGGTTCCCTTCTCTTCCTAGCAGATACCCAGAGTACGTGGGGGAGAGAAGGAAGAGCATCCTGTTTCCGTCTTTCATCCTTGTAACTCTGAGTCCTGGAGACCTTGGCAGGTGCCACCATGGATGCCAAAGTGGCTTGCACCTATGAAGCAGGGAGGGCCTGGAAAATAGAAATTATCCACTCTCACCTATGTCTCTATCCCACCTACTGTCAGTAGCCTTGGTGTTCCCTAGACCTCATTTATGCCATGGATACTAGCATAACCTTTATCCATGAAAGAGGAGGCTTGGCTTAATAGGCAGGAATTAGCCACGTTCACTTGCACTGTGCCTTTTTTCCTCTGTTATTGTTTGCCTCTGGATGCCTTAGATCAAGTTTTCCTTCCTAGGGCTTTGACCTGAAGCTTAGAATTGAGTTTGGGACAAAAATGTGTCTTGGCAGGGGTTGCCTGGACTCCTTATCATAAGACAAACGCTAAGGCGAAGCTGTGGAATTGAGACATCCTCCAACAAGGGAGAGAAAAGGGTGTCTTGTGACACACCCAGATAACTGGTGGCTATATTTATGCTCGCTACGATTTGGGTGCATGGTACTTGGCTTTGGTTAGCTCCCTTGGCCTTACTTTCCCAAAAAGGAAACCTCTGAGTGATTGGCACCCTATTTATTGTCATCACCTGGCAGCATTTGCGGGATAATTGCTCAAAACTAGAATATTGATCCAGATGTTTACATTACCCATCTCCCGTGTTCTTTCTGAGCTGCACCCAGAGATTGCTGGTTGGTTCACAAGAACAAGCAGGGCTAGTCTAAAAATGTAGGCAAAAACTTAAAAGCAACTAATGAGTCTAGAATTTAATGAAAAATGTATGATAACTTTTGAAACATAACTTATCTCTCTCCAGTGCTCATTTTTGTCAAAAGAAAACAAATCATCATAAGACTGAGTGGTTTGCAAAATAGACGTTAGTCTTAAACACTTGACCTGATTATTTGTATAAATTGCAGCACGAATAATTATTTCTACATAGGCCTTTTGGATTGTCTTTGAAGGAACTCTGTTCCACAAGGATTCTCAGATAAGACCTTTTAAGGCTGAGCCCAGTCATGGATATATACTCAGATACCTGTGAGTTGGGTGATCCTCTCCTCTTAAGGTCCCGAGATAAAGTTGGAGCTCCTGGACCTCTGAGAAAGTGACATTCTCTACTAAGCACAAGTCAGAACCCTATACAGGGATTGCATAGGTAAGGGTATGAGGCCAGTCTCCCCAAGGGGCTTTTATCAGCTCTGCAAGTCAAGACTGACCCCTTAAAGGGAAGCATACCCTTCCAGTCAAAGCCTTGGCAAAGTAAGCAGTTTCTCTAATTACATTCTGTTGCAAAAGAAAAATAGATTCTTATTGCACTGATGCAAACAACTATATTGCTATAAGTTATGAATACTCAGATAGTTTTCAAATTCTAGAGGAACTGGGCAGAGAGACACAAACATGCACCAAATTTGGTTCACAGGAGTATACCATACTCAATTATTAAAGGTCACAAATGGTTCAAAATAAGTTTTCTTGACTCTGAAAAAAAAAAAGACAAGGATCAGCAATATTCCAAGAAAACTCAAAAAGATTTGCTTTAGTTTCCTGAGTTCAGTCCTCTTAGTTAACTCTTGTTTTGCTTGATATTTGTGAACATTTCAGCTCTTCATGAGTCCTGTCCATTTTTCTTTATTTCAATGTCACAATCTCCAAAGTTATCAGAAGCCTGTAGTTGAGAGCACCTGTCAAAGTGCTATAGCTGATTATAAACCTTCCTTTTAAAAAGATTTAAACAAGACAATTGTCTGTGAATAGCAAAATGTCCAGGGTAGTTACAGTTACAAACACAATTGACAAAGAAGTTTGATTACCTCCGTGGTTTACGATAACTTAAACTAACAACCTTAATTATGATTGATAGTATATACTCAGACATTCGAATTTTAGAAATCCCATAAAATTTTGGAACATATATTACCATTATTCACAAAAATATAACCTAAAGAAGATTGAACATCATTTTGGCAATCCCATGTACCTAAACATGCCAAATAATCCTATTTGCCTCTTTTCTGGACATTCCAGGGGCCCTTCTGGAGCCTCCAAAAAACCAGGTGTCAAGAAAGACAATTTTGAAACTGAAGTTTGATTTTGGGAAGCCTGTTACATATGTTAAAGGTTTAAAACACTTGATTTATGAAATAGAATTCCGGGTTACCATAAATTATTTATTTTGCCTAAATGATGACTCAAATTTTAAAGAAGCAAAATCCTTTTACAGCCTTTTACAAATTTTGTTATAAGAGCAGATTAGTGCCTTAAGAAAACCTTGTTGTGCTTTTATTTCAATGTTCAATTTATAGAAAAACCATATAATAACCTCTTTAATTTAGTCAGTGTTCACACACAGAATTTCTTTTACAAGATTAGTTCTTACAATCCTTCCACCAGTTGTTTGAATTTTTACCTTTATCTTATCTAATTTAAAACAGTCCTTTAATAATAGGCAAGAATTTATATCTTTAGGCCTTTTTATAATCTTTTACTAAAAAAACACATTTTACTATTCCTACGCACCTCACGTGTAAATCTATTTCCAGTAGTTTCAATTACATGCTATAATGGTAACTCCTACCAATTTTTAACGTTAATGTAAAACCTGGTAAGTTGTGTTAATTGTGTGCTAAGTGCGACCAAGGTTTGACTCCTTTCAGCATAATTAAGGGTGTGGTTAATTCTGTATGTCCCCGTATGTACCAACTGTGAAACCAGCAAGTCAAATAGTTCTCAAAACCCAAAAAGCACTTTATAACCTTAAAACACTTAGCAAACCTTGCATCTGACCTGCAAAATTTAGTTGACCTGTTTACATTTTGATGGCATCTGCATTTTACCAATAATCTTTAAAGCTGTTTTTATTTCTGAAAGATTAAAGTCACGTGAACTGAAAAGTACTACAGCTTTTATATTCCCTTTAAAAAATATTTGATCCAAGTGCTTGTCTTCCTTTAGGCCAAATTAATTAAAGCTCTTTTTATAGACGTTACACACTCAACACATATACAGCTACACAGACAGACGGGAGAAAACCCAGTCCCCACAAGATCCCTTATCACAACCAAAACTTTACAGAGAATATAAACAGTGATCCTTATCATTCCTAGCTTAGTAAAACATCTTCCAAAAGGAAAACAAACCCATTTAAAAGTTAACTGCTGATGGGGTGAAGAAGAAAAAAGGATGCATGGGGGAAGAACCTCTTATTCTTATGCAAATGTTCCTCCACCAGGGAGAAAAACTTAATTGCTGTCCCAAAGAGCTGAACCCCTTGTCCAGGGTAGGGAAGATGCCAGGGACACATGATGTTCACCAGCCCCAGCCAGGAGGAGAGGGGGAGCGAGGAGCTGCCACTCGCCTGTCTGTCCCAAAAAAGGAAGGAAAAGGCCATGGAAAGGCCACCGACCCCTGGGAGCGACAGGGGTTTCCCCTACCCTCAGAAGTCTGAGGATGAAAAGGCTTACAAGTGACAGTGAGAGGTTTTGATCCCCCATTTCACCCACCCCTTCTCAAGCTTTAGCTTCTGGGCACCAAAGCTGTTGCAGGACTTTTTCCTTTGTTCAGCTAAGAGCTGGGTTCTTGTCACACAGTCATGAGAGATTAGGCTCACAGACACTTTGAAGGGTGAGAAAAGTTGAATTTATTTGGCAAAAAGGGGAAAAAAGGGAAACAGGGAACTTCAGCAAAGCCAGAGTCCTGCTAGTGTACTTCCCACCTTGCACTCTGAATCCCAGGTTCCACCCAGGAAGAGGAGGCCCTGGTTCCTTCCCGCTGCAAGCTTCTGTGGCTCTACCTGAGTGCACATTTCTTCCAGCATGCAGGACGGTTGGAGGTTCTGCCAGGGAGCACTTCCCACCTGGCTGTCTCATAATCAAATCAAACTTAACCATTGTTTGAGCTGTTAGTTGTTACCTACAAAGAAGCTAATTTTACTACTCAAAAGAGGTCTGCAAGATGGAAATATTCTTTTATCTTCTTTTTAAATTATTTTATGTTTTTACTTTTGAAGAGTTCTTTTATCCTCATTACTGCCTTGAATATGCTCATATCTATTTTGCCAGGTATTCTGTGAAATATGTTATGTCCTTAATTTACAACACAATATTTTGCATCACTTTCTGAGTGCCTGATATATGTAAGAAATAAAAATGAATTTTAAAAAGTAGACAAAACAATGTATTGTCTTCTGAGTAAACACAACGATGTGTTTAATTATCTCTATAGATCAACAGTCTAGCACAGGAATCAAGGCCTAGAAATTATTTATTATGTGATAATTCAGAGCTTGTGTTTGGTAGACAATTAGTTAATTAGCATAATTCTAACACTCAGACCTAGAGATACAACAGGGCTGACGGGAAATATATACTTATATTTACAAGTTAAAATTTCTAAGAGTTGTTTATTCTTGATTGTACGCCTTGTGGAAAATTTGATGAAAGATTCAATGAGCAATTGCTCTTACCATTCTAAAACAAAATAACACCCTGACCTAGGCATCATCTTTCTTTGAAGAAAGGCCCACCTTTGGCCTGATCTTCAGTGAGAGAAACAACTACCTAACAGTACATTGTTATGTAATCAATGATCTGAAAAAGCCAATATACTTGTTATTGAAAAAGAGTCTTTGAAAGCTCTTAGAGTATATTAAATAGTGAATTACCATAGACAGGATATGTGTAGTTTGAATATCTGGTTGTTAAAAAAATATTTTATATGTAAATCACATGAGACAAATTGTTCAAATAATATGAAAATATAAGGATAACGGATTACATGACATTTATGTAAATTTAATAGTAAATGATCTTTCTAGTTTTTTTTCTTATCTGTAAAATTATGGGGTAGGTTTATATGACTTCTAAGGTCCCTTGAAGCTCTAAAATTTAACGTTTCTTAAAAAATAGTTAAAAGTAAAGAAAAATAATCCAAATTAACAAGGAACTGTAATCACTTACATATGATGCTTTAAACTTAATAATGTGACCAAAGAGTCATCAAATGTATAGTTTTATTATAAATCATTTAAAATATCTTTGGTTATCCTGTCTAATGATTAATATTTATAAAGTAATAATAGTGCCCCAGTGCACTATTGAATAAAACATGCACCCCTTTTTCTGCACTAATTAAATAGAACTTAATTTCCTAGACTCACAATTTTGCCATTCCAATTCTTGCCCTTTTCAATCAGATTAAAAATTCTTTATACTTTTCTTGAAGATATTACCTAATGGACTTGTTTCAACTTGCATTTTTCTACAGCTAAAAATAAAGCAGTTTTTATGTCATATTTGCATTCATTGTGTTTCTTTTTACATTCTTTTAGTGGTATGTCAAATTCATTTATTCATTCATTCATGTGCTTTGACAAAATAAACAAACCAAGAAGCAAAAATATTAAATGCCTATCAGGGTCTTAGTTTGCATTCCTCAGAAGCATAGGCTGAGGCAGGGTCTCAGATGTATGTGTTTTACTGAAGGTGTGCTCTTGAGGAAAGACCTGTAAGAGAAGTTAAACAAGCAGGATAATGAAAAAGAAACAACCCATCAAGGATACAGTATTGCCTAGAAATCTTGGCTCAGCCAGATCTGCTGAAGTGGAGTGATGAGGTATCTCTGGGACATAAATCATACCAAATGGGTGGCCTGCCTTGAAGGAAGGAGGCCAGCTTTATGTATCTTTATATCAGTTAATCGTTGGCTATTTACAAAGGGGAGAAGGTAATGGAGAGGCATAACCTTTCAAAGGAAAGATGAGCTCCCACCAGCCCAGAACAATCCTCAAGCAAAGCTTGCAGGTGTAAGACATTAATTGGGAGCCAACATTCACAGCAGCTGAGGTGTACTAATCTAGGAAATTGGCTCTGGTAGGGCACCAAATGGCATCTACCAGACTCTACCCTTTGACACTGGTACTGCACAGATCCATTTGTTTTTCAATTCAAATTGACTCCTTCTAGGTATAGCTGTCCATATAGTCACTATTCCTGGATAAATTTATAAGAGGATGATTAGTGGGCTAAACTACATCCTTCACTGTTATTGTTGGTCCTGAATCCATAACTAATACATGTCTTCCCCTTCCACTATTTGTTCTACATTTTCCTCACCCTCACAGGCAATTCCGCTGGATGAGAAGGCTTGCCTGATTTGATCACCTAGACCCCTATCTACTGGTGGTGGGGATTGGGGACCGGGTTTGAACCACTCATTATTACACCATTCCCAGACCATCCTTATTGCACTTTTATAGTTAAAATTGGGCATGGAAACACAAGAGATCTCCAGTGAATCGCCTAAGCACTCAACTTATTATTTCCTACAAGTATTGTTGTAACAGCAACCTGTCTCCTCCTAATTTCAGGGTAATTACCCTTGCCAGTATGGTGGCTACCTTCTTTGCCCACTGCTCTTTTAGCAGAAGGAGCCAAAAATCTTCAAACAGGAGCCATAGCAAAAAGTTCAATGAAACTCTTATTGTGTCTTATGTTGGAAATACCCTCTGGGAATGAAGACCTTCACCACAACTATGGTTTTACTTTATCTACCTGCAGGACTTAAGCTATCACTACTATGAGGATTTATAAGGTATATTATTTCCAGGTATGATATATCAAATAACTTAACCTTTAACCAAGGAACCCATGGTACAGCAAATTAGGTACACCATGATCACATAACCATGGAACCCAATGTTCCTATCATGGATATCATCAACCAGAAACTACTGTCATAACAAAAGGTAGTGGAATGATGTATTCGAGATGAATCTGTGGTACCTGGGGGCAAATAATACCTAACACATTAGACTAATGCAATGATTTGCACAATGTTCAAATGTTCCAAGTCACTTCAGTTTAAGTATCATTACTTAAATTAAACCAGGGAATTCTGGTTAACCCAACCTCTGGGGCAAGATTGTTAATATATATTCATTCCAGCCCCAACTGAATATGAACTGTTTCTGATTTGCCTTTGTGATAGGAATGGTAAAAATGCATTTTTGGAAGCAGGAACCACATAACACACATTAGAATCCATGCTAATTTTCTCTAGCAAAAATGCCATGTCCAGTCCCAGAGCTGCAACTTAATTTCCTACTTGCTTAAGTTCATGAATCGTTCCTTGTTGTATGTGCTATGTTAATTAAATTGTATTTGAATGTGCCACTAATTTCTGCCATTTTTTCTGGGATGAGGTATTATTTTTGATTGGTTGTATTGGCTGATAGGTTGATTATATCATAGGTGCCTACTTGGCACCCTCTCAATAAAACAGATTTTACTTCACAAATCATGGAACTAATATGAGGGGTGTCCCTACTACAAAGTAAGTTCATTTCAGTTATATATTTTGAGACCAGGAAAATGACCACCAATTGAGTCTATGGACTCCATTTATTACCTAGCTCTCACCGTGCCCCATACTAAAAGGGCTGTGGCAGTTTTTAAATATGTCCACATACTACTTGACATTCTTCCCTTCAAAAAGTACAGCCTAATTTCTCTCCTTTGAATAGGGGTTCAATTTAGTGAATTGCATCTAACAAATAAAATATGGTGGAAGTGACGATGTGTGTCTTCTGAGGTTGAATCACAAAAGACATTGCCACTTCCACCTTGGCAACTTGGATCCCCCTCTCTGAGTAAAGCCAGCCAGTATGTTTTAAGGTCATTTAAGCAGTCCTGGAATAGATCCACCAGGGAAATGTTTGAGGCCTCCCACCAACACTTAGCACTAACTTACTAGTCATGTGAGTTAGTCACTGTATGGACTCCATGTTTGGGTACGCCCTCCCTAAAATTCATATGTTGAAACCATAACTCCCAATAGTATAATATTTGGACGTGGGGCCTTTGGGAAGCAATTAGATCATGAGGGTTAAGCCCCCATGATGAGATGAGTGCCCTTAGAAGAAGAGGCACACAAGAGAGCTTGTTCATGCTCTCTCTGTCTCTGTCTCTGTCTCTCTTTCTCTCTGTCTCTCTGCTATGTAAGGACACAGCAAAAAGGTGGCTCTCTACATGCCAGAAAGCCAGCCCTCAACAGACTGGATCTACTGGTGACTTGATTTTAGACTTCCTAGCTTCTAGGACTGGGAGAAATGAAATTTGGTATTTAAGCCATCTAGTCTAGGGATTTTTTGTTATAACAGACAGAATAGACTAATACAGTCACCACTAAGAAGTGAATTGTCCAGATCCAGTAATGTCTTGAAATAACGTGACCCCCAGCTAACCTCTTAACTGCAACCTCATAGTAAACCCTGAGCCAAACCACCTACCTGAGCTACTTGTGAATACCTAACCCACAGAAACCATAAGATAAATTAATATTATTGATTTAAGTCATTGAGTTTTTGGTGATTTCATTGGCAGCAATAAATAACTAATACAGATTAGTCCAATCTTGGCACTTTGGGTCCCTGTCTACTATCCTATATCCAATCATCCTTGAAAGATTTTGGCATCCCCTTTCCCCAATGTATAACTACCTTACTACATGATAACAGCTAACCTTAGGGAAAGACTGGGGAAATTGCTAATGAATACACTTATTAGGGTGCTTCAGGACGGACTACTTCACATATGGACACAGTATCTCCCTCAGCAGTGAGTATCATTTTGAGAATTGGTTCAGCTCCAGAAAAGTCACAAAGGACTGTGAATTTTTGGATGGACAACTGCCCTCAGACTCCTAATAATCCATTTTGGATTTCTTTCGATTGCATATATTTACCAATAATCTCATGGGCTATCTATCTATCTTCAGACTAGGACTATCATATTTTATTAAACATCTTCTTAGCTGTCTTGGAAGCCACTCTGATGTTGACATTTATTGCAATAATTGTGCCCACTTGTAACAGGTGAGGACCTCAAACTTGCCTCTGATGTTTTGTATTCCTATCTTCATCATTGCTATCAGAGAAGTGAGTTCTGTAACAGAATCTTCTACCATCAGCCCTGCCCAAAGAAGATGGCAAATACTGAATTTCTCAGTGATATCCTTGTTTATTTTTCCAGTACATTCTTTATCACTTTAGTCAATTGAAGATACTTCAGGCTTTCTTTTGAATCATGGTCATCTTATAAGTTTTCCAACATTAAAGATATTCATCTAGCATGTCCACTTCTCTGAGCTTTTTAATCATCTGCCTCACTGTCTGTCACAGCATTTCAGGTATTTTCACTTTGTTTAGTGTGGTCCTTCACTTTTCCCAAGATTCCAAGAGCCATCTCCAAAGCATGTTAATGCCTTCACTTGGAGTCCTTGCTATGGTGTTAAAATCCTGTATCATGAGAAAGAACTTACATATCTATACATCGTCCATTAACCAACTCTATTTTCTGCTCCTTTAATCTAGAACCCTCAGCATCCAGTTCCATACGCATTATCCTTGCTCCTTCCAGTACATACCAGCCACCTGCTTCCACATATAGTTCTTCTCTGCACCTATCAAGCTTAGCACATCTCCACACAAGTTACACTGGAATTTCACCCTTGTTCTTGTGTGCTTTCCAGGAAGAGAGGTGACAAGGGAGGTTGATGAGAGAGGCAGATTTCCTTTTCATTGCTTTTTCATGCCCTTAAAGGGTGACAAGGTGTGCAGTAATTTCTAACATAGGGGAGTGGAACTATATTCAAGTTCATCCAGAACCCATATAATTTCTACGAGGGCCCTGACTTTGACATAAGACACTTGTTGAGGCTGAGAAGTCTACACTCTCAGAAGCTCCATGACTCACAGAATTCAGTTTAGAGCCTGTTCCTCTGCTTTGTCTATTTTTGGGGGGCAGCAGATTAAGGTCTCATTAAATACTTCCAAGGATATCCTCTGACTTTCAGGTTTTGCCTTGAAATGGTGATTAATCTCTTTCAGACTGATATTATCTCTCTTCCAGGAATAGTTGATGCATAGCAGCAGCCATTCAATTCTATATTTATGGAATTTTTTCTTTACACCACTTAAACATCAGAGATATTTCACCTGCCAGAGGGTTCTTTTATACCAGTATCACGTTTATGTCCATCATTGGTGAATATTTTAACAAATGTACCACTCCAGCGTATGTCAGGAAGTAACCATACTCTACCTATTATCAGTGTCTGGATCTTTTCGCCTGCTGGCCAGCAGGTAACATATTCCTCAAATTCCTGTTTAACATTTGCTTCCAAGGACCACACCTGGTACAAATTGTCTTCGAGATAGTTCCTAGGAAACAGACTCTTACAAGGTTAATTATGAGCAGATTTATTAAGGCATACTTTAAGGAGATGCTCTTAGGAAGATTTTCCTGTGAGGCAATTGTGGAAGGAAGGACTAGGTAGAGAGGTAACGTGACCCATAATCCCATGGCAACAGAAGCCTCAGTCAATTTTATAAGGAGCTCTAAAGCTAGATGATACTTCAGCATTGTCATAAATTGAGGGAGGAAGGCCAGAACATTTTTTATCACTACATTAACCAGTCATTGGCCAAGGGTTGTTTCCTGAGCAGGGATCTAATTTTGCACAAGCCATTTCCCTAAAGTTGAGTACATTTTCCAGTGAGTTATGTAGCTGTGTGAGTTGGCAGCTGATGTTCTTAGCAGGTGGTAGAAGACAGCCTTGACCCAGAAGACACCACAGCATCCACTGCATATACTATTATTACTATAGTACATAACAACAATAATAACAACAGGAAAAATAATAATGGTAATTAAGTTATTACTATTATTGCTAACCATTTAAGGGTAAATTGCAAATATGCAGATGCTTTATTCCTGAAATCTTCATTATGAATGTCCTAATATCTAGGAGATTATATTGCATTACAACACCACAATGATCAATGTCAGGAAATTTGAAATTGATACAATATTATTATAAAATGTAGAGTCCATGTTCAAATTTTACAAATTGCCTCAACATTATAATTTTTAGCATTTTTTCCAATTCAGGACTGAATTCAAGATCATGCATTGCATTCAATTATCATATCTTTAACCACTTTAGCTTGCTAAATATCTCCTCAACTTTTCTGAAGGTAAATGCCAAAATTGCCTGGATTGAGGTATCATGAATCTCTCCATAACTTTGATATGGGATATAGAAGTGGAAACATGTCACATGATTTAGTATGACAATTCTGAATTTGAAACCCAAGAGATTATTCTAGATTTGTACCTATCTCCTGTGCTACTTTAAATCGGATATAAGAACACACACGCTTCACAATGATTGATGAGGAATTTAGGACATGATAACAGATTCATGTATGTGTTTGTATGTGTGTTTGTGTGTGTGCTCCCTGTTAACTGAGAGGCTTTATTATTTGAACTACATTACGTGTCTCTCACAATTGAAAAAAAGGAACAAAACTAGAATTATGGTCCAGTAGATGTCAACATATACATATGAAATCATTGAAGATTTCAAAGAAATTTAGTGTGCAACTTGGGAACTTGCTATTATAATATGTGCATTTGCAATTAGCAGGGAATGTTTATATGTCTGAGTAAGCTAATCTTAAAATTCTAGGAAGGTAATTTTCATCTCATAAGAATGTCTAAGCAATTTTCCAATTTATATATTGCTGCTCCCATATTTATTTTTAAACTTGACTAACTTTATTTTTTTATAGCTGAACAGCATATGAATATTTTCATAACCCCAGAAAAAGGCTGCCGTCTTTCTCCTTCTTTACTCTCCGCTCTTTGGAAGGCTTGTGTTGAGGCTGGCCTCCCCATAAATCCCAGTTGGTAGAAAGAAATTTGGTTTTGCTTAGCACTAAGAAGGACACTTTAGCCTGGATATTTAAAATTTGGGAAAATGCATTATTTTATGTATTTTTTAGCTTTATTTATACTTGATGAATAATAATTGTGTATGTTTATGGGTTAAAATGTGATGTTTTGATCTATGTATATACATTACAGAAAGACTCAAGCTACTTAACATATCCATCACCCTACAAAATTCATCTTTTTTTTTTCTGATGGGATGGTTAAAAATGTGTTCTTTTTGGCAGTTTTGAAGTATACAATTTACTGTTATTAACTGTGATCACAATGCAGTGCAAAAGGTCACTAAAATTAATCTCTCAAGTCTAACTGAAATGTTGTATACTTTCATCAACACCTTTCCTTTCCCCATCCCTCTTCCTAACCCAAGCCTCTGGTAACCTTTCTATTATCTGTTTCTACGAGATGGACAATTTTACATTCCATATAGAAGTGAGATCATGCAGTATTTGTCTTTCTGTGTCTGTCATATTTCACCTAGCATAATGTCTTCCAGTTCCATCCATATTGTTGCAGATGACAGAATTACTTTATTTTTAAAGGCTGTATAGTATTCCATTGTTTATATTTACCATATTTTTTTATTCCTCCATTCATCCACTGATGGACACTTAGGTTGTTTCCATAACTTGACTTCTGAGAATAATACCACAATGAACATGGGAATACAGACATCTTTTTTACATTTGGACTTCAATTACATTGGATACACATACAGAAGTGGGATTGCTGGCACATACGGTAATTCTATTTTTAGTTTTTTGAGAAACCTCCATACTATTTTCCTAAATGATTGTGGTTACTTGACATTTCCACTAAAAGAGCACAAGAGTTTCCTTTTATCCACATCCTCACCAACATGTGCTATCATTAATCTTTTGATAATAGCCACTTTAAACAAGTATGAGGCCATACTGTGGTTTTAATTTGCATTTCCTTGACAATTAGAGATGTTGAGCACTTTTTCATGTATCTCTAACCTATTCTTATCTCTTCTTTTGATAAATGTCTGTTCAGATAGTTCTCCAATTTTAAGTTTTGTTATTTGTTTTCTTGATATATTACATTGGTTGAGTTCCTTATATATTTTGGATATTAGCCCCTTATCAGACATATGGTTTGCAAATATTTTCTCCTAAGTTGTGGGTGGTCTCTTCATTCTGTTTACTTTTCTGGGCAGAAGGTTATTAGTTTGAGGCCATCAAACTATTTGTTTATTGTTAACTGCTTTTCAAGTCCTAGCCAAGAAATCATTGCCAGAACAATGTTGTGCAGTTTTGCCCTATGTTTTCTTCTACAAGCTTTAGAATTTCAGGTCTTAGGTTTAAGTCTTGTGTCCATTTTGAGTTGGGCTTTGTATAGAAAAGGGTTCAATTTCATTCTTCTTCATGTGGACTTCTAGTATTCCCAGCATGATTTATTGAAAAGACTGTTCTTTCCCCCTTGTGTGTTACTGGTGCCTTTGTGGAAAATCAATTGGCCATAAATACTTGGGCTTATTTTTGAGCTTTCTCTTATTTTGGATAACTAATAACCTATTATTTGTATAAATTTAAGGGGTACAAGTGCAATTTTTTAGTTTTTAATGTTTTAATTTTTAATTTTTGCAGGTACATAGAGTTAGATGGGTATATTGCATAGTAGTGAAATCTGGACTTTTAGTATACCCATCACCTGAATAATGTGCATTATATCCATTCAGCAATTTCTCATCCCTCACCTCCTCCCTCTGCCTCCCTTGAAAGTCTGCAATATCTATTATTCCATCCTCTACGTCCATGTGTAAACATTATTTAGCTTCCACTTTAAGTGAGCACATGCAGTATTTGACTTATTATTTCTGAAGTGTTTCACATGAGATAATAACCTCCAGTTCCATCCAGTTGCTGCAAAATACATGATTTCATTCTTTTTTATGGCTGAGTAGTATTCTGGTGTGTGTGTGTGTGTGTGTGTGCGTGTGCACATGCACGTGCGTACAACACATTCTCTTTATTCATCTGTTGATGGACACTTGGGTTGATTCCATATCTTTTTTATTGTAAATAGTGCTGCAATAAACATATGAATACAGTTTTTTTAATATAATAATTTCTTTTCCTTTGGCGTTATATGCAGTAGTGGGATTGTTAGGTGAAACGGTAGTTAAATTTTTAGTTATTTGTGAACCCTCCATAGAGGTTTTCCGTAGAGGTTATACTAATTTATATTTCCACCAACAGTGTCTAAGTGTTTCTTTTTCTCTGCAGTCTCACCATCATCTGTTACATTTGGACCTTTTAAATAACAGCCATTCTGACTGAGGTAAGATGATTTCTCATTGCGGTTCTAGTTTTCATTTCTCTGATGATTAGTGATGTTTATCACTTTTTCATATGTTTGATGACCATTTGCATATCTTCCTTTGAAAAATGTCTATTTATGTCATTTGCTTGCTTTATAATGAGGTTATTTGTTTGTTGTTGTTGTTGTTATTGAGTTCCCTGTAAATTAGGGATTATTAGTCCCCTGTGGGACATACAGTTTGTAAATATTTTCTCCCATTCTGTAGGTTGTCTGTTCACTCTGTTGATTATGTATTTTGTTGTTAGGGAGCTTTTTCATTTAAGTCCCAATTGCCTATTTTTTGTTGTTGCTCATGCTTTTGAGGTCTTAGTCACGAATTATTTGCCTAGACCAATGTCCACAAGAATTTTCCCTAGATTTTCTTCTAGTATTTGTATAGTTTCAGGTCTTATATTTAAGTCTTAAATCCATCTTGAGTAATTTTTTGTATGTGGTGACAGATCGGTATCCAGCTTCATTCTTCTGCATATAGATAGCCAATTTACCCAGCATCATTTATTGAAAAGGATGTCCTTCCTCCATGTTGGGGGGCTTTTATTGGCTTTGTCAAAGATTATTTGGCTATAAATATGTATCTCTATTTCTGGGTTCCTTCTTCTGTTCTATTGAAATGTGTGTCTATTTTCATCCCAGTACCATGCTGTTTCAGTCACTGTAGCTTTGTAGCATAATTTGAGGTAAGGGCCGGGCGCAGTGGCTCATGCCTATAATCCCAGCACTTTGGGAGGCCGAGACAGGTGGATCACAAGGTCAGGAGATCGAGACCATCCTGGCTAACACGGTGAAACCCTGTCTCTACTAAAAATGCAAAAAATGAGCCAGGTGTGGTGGCGGGGACCTATAGTCCCAGCTACTCGGGAGGCTGAGGCAGGAGAATGATTGGTGTGAACCTGGGAGGCGGAGCTTGCAGTACACCAATATTGCGCCACTGCACTCCAGCCTGGGTGACAGAGTGAGACTCCGTCTCAAAAAAAAAAAAAAAAAAAATTGAGGTAAGGTAATGTGATGCCTCCAGCTTGTTCTTATGCTTAGGACTGCTTTGGCTATTTAAGTTCTATTTTAGTTCCATATGAACTGTAGAACTCTTAAATTGAAATGTAATCAGAAGAGGGTGCCAAATTTTTCTTTTAAAGCCTTTTAACATTGTTATTGCCAATGAAAAACTTAGAATATTGGCATTATTTTCAAATTCTCTCATAGGCACTTGGTTAGAAATTTAAAAAATTTCTCCTGCTCAACATTTTCTAAATATTTACCTCTTTATTTCTATCTCACCCTAAGCCTTATTTTCTTTTTTAACATGGCTTAGTATAATTTCCTATTTATTAACTTTCTTACAGCCCTAGCATAATTTATAAATATTTGGTGATGATTTCTTATATCTCACTGTACATTAAAAAATAAGTTAAGTCCATAGAAATAACTAGAAACTTTACAACTCAATAACATATTTTATCTTGTCTTTTTATTTAGCTTCCTCAGGGCTAGTTACTTTAAATAGTATAAAAGGGGAAAAAACAGCTTTTCAACTACATTATGTGTAAGCTTGTGTCAAATTTTTTTCAAGCCAGCACTAAGGGGAGAGGTCTCAGGGTGGACTATTTCAAAAATTCCCTTTTTGGATGAACATATTACCGAAAAAGAGACTGTCTAAAGTAGAAACTTTTAGCCTTGGCATTTTGACATTTTGTACTGGGTAATTTTGTACTAGATAATTCTTTGTTTTGTGGGGGTGGGGTGGGCATCTGGTGCATTATAGTATTAGGTTGGTGCACAAGTAATTGCGGTTTTTGCCATTTGGCAAAAACCGCAATTACTTGTGCACCAACCTAATATATTAACAGATTCCTTAGCATCCAGCCATGAAATGCCAGTAGCACCCAACAGTTGTGACAACCAAAACTATTTCCAGATATGGTCAAATTTCCCTTGGGGGACAAAATCACCCCTTGTACTAGTCTGTTCTCACTGCTAATAAAGACATACCTGAGAATGGATAATTTACAAAGGAAAGAGGTTTAATTGACTCACAGCTCCACAGGACTGGGAGGCCTCAGGAAACTTACAATCATGGTGGAACAGGAAGTAAACATGTCCTTCTTCACATGGCAGCAGCAAGGAGAAATGCAGAGCAAAGGCGGGGGAAGCCCCTTCTAAAACCATTGGATCTCATGAGAACTCACTAAATATCATGAGAACAGTATGGAGGTAACTGTCTCCATGATTCAATTTCCTCCCACTGGGTCCCTCCCATGACACATGGGGGTTATGCAAAATACAGTTCAACATGAGATTTGGGTGGGGACACAGCCAAACCATATCACTCTTGATTGAGGCGATTTAAGCATTTGGTTAAATATAAGAAAAATCAATCTTTAGGCTATTCAGCCAGTAAATTGGGTAATCTTAGGCCTTATAAATTCTTAATCTCATTTAGAGGCAACAGAAAGATGCACAAACATTGTATCAGGAATCGAAAATCCTTTCTAGAAGGAAGTTTTGAAATTATCTTACAAAAAGTTCTGGCCTAGAATGGTCTAAGATAATTCTTTCTCAACATTTCTTATCTTTGTCACACCTAATATAATCTTTTTCATGAAAACATTTTGTAATATTTTCTTTATAATCCTTAATCCAAAAAATAAATGAGAAGTTAAAAAGCTTTAACTATAATATTAATGATAAATAAAAGGAAAGTAACTGATAATATTAATGACATGTATTTCAGTATGTTGATGCTCAGGCCTGATTACACCAGAAGATCTAATGAAGCATTTACAGGCTTTCACCTATGCATGGAATCACCATAAATGCAACAGCTACAAATGCAGCCTGAGAGAGGAGCACTGTATTGACAAATCAAATATGTGGGCAGCATTACCACAACTGATGCAGTTTTCAAAAATAGCAGACAACTTGATAAAATTCTAAACCAAACAATGCACAGCCTTCTTTAAATTTATACAGTAGTGATTCCAAAATAAAAACCTAGTGTATTAGAACCTTGCAAAGAAGTTTTGTTTATATCAAAAACAGAAGTGGTCTCTGTTATCAGATGATTGTAAATATGATTGTATTAGGGTTCTCCAGAGTGACAGAACTAATAGGATATATGTTTACATAAAAGGGAGTTTAGTAGTGAGAATGGGCTCACACGATCACAAGGCGAAGTCCCAGGATACGCCGTCTGCAAGCTGGGGAAGAAGCCAGTAGTGGCTCAATCTGAGTCCCAAAGCCTTAAAAGCAGGGAAGCCAACAATGCAGCCTTCAGTATGTGGCTGAAGGCCTGAGAGCACCTGGAAACCACTGGTGTGAGTCCAAGAATCCAAAGGCTGAAGAACCTGGAGTCTGAAAATACGTACACTTGAAAATATGTAAACCTCCTTTGTGAAAAGCATCCAGCACAGGAGAAAAATGAAAGCTAGAAGACCTAGTAAGCCACGTTATCTCACTTTCTTCCATCTGCTTTGTTTTTGCTGCACTGGAAGCTGATTGGATGGTGCCCACCCACACGGAACGTGGGTCTTGCTCTCCCAGTCCACTGACTCAAATGTCAATCTCCTCTGACACACCCGGAAACGATACTTTACCAGGTCTCTAGGCATCCTTCAATGCAATCAAGTAGACACCTAATATTAACCATCACAACAGTTTTCACTTTTACGAATGCCAAGTACAATAATCAAAAGTTGCGAGGATGTGGGATGGTTATGTATAGTGCAGGACTGTCCTGCTCTGTCCATCTCAATGCCAGTCATAGTGCACCCCAATCATTATGACAACCAAAATTTTCCTGAAAATTTCCAAAACTCTAGGTGGCAGAACTCCGCTCTAAATAAATCCACTCAGGATTTGGATTCTGCTCTGGTGTAAAATGCATGTTTCTTAGATTCCTATGAATACAGTTAACCACAGAAGATGGTTATAATTAAAGATCTTGTATTCTAACCTTCACAGAGTCTAACTTAGTAGGACTCAAGTGGGGTTTAAAAATCTCTGCTTTTTTAACAAGAGTTGAAGATGAATCTGATGCAGATCCTTTGTGGAGATACTTTGAGAAAACACTTGAAAATATGTAAACCTCCTTTGTGAAAAGTAGAAACTTCCATGGGAGTATTAGTTAAATACGTCATGCATTTGGCAAACGACAGTGGTCTTCATTTTCTCCTTATTTATCTTACAGTCTTACAATCTTTAATTTGTCTTTAAGTTATTCATCAAATTCTGTGAAATGGTCTCCTAATGAAGGTCTTTTCATTACTTGTCAAGTCAAAAGAATGAAGCACAGTGATGCTATTTTTTTAAAACTCACAATCTGGCAGATTTATTTACTGCCTATCACGTACAATTGTTTTGAATTAATTTTGTTATGATCCTGACAACTCAAAAAGATTTATCAAAAGGTTTTACACCTGGTACAGGATATAGTGATATTTAAATAAATGACAAATTTATAATTGACAAATATATTTCATATTGTCGTTTTCTTCTTGCACACCATGAATTAAAAAGTAGACAAACTTCATAGGGAACCTTCCGCAAAGAAAAAATATGGATTATGACAAGTGTAAAGACTTGAGGAAGGCTGATAAGAATCCATGCTTATGAGCTTAATGGTTTGCATGACAAAGAGTTAAAATATCAGCTACTTTAAAGAAATCTTACTATATAAATAATCTTATTGAATTGATATTTGTGACTGTAAAGTTATTTAAATCGGTATCATTATATCTTGTTTGGGAGGAGTATAACACATTTTGAGTATCTTTGTGTGTTTTTGTTAATTCTACAGAAATTGGTATCCATTCTTTTTTAAGCCATATTCACCTAAATGTAAAATGTATCATTAAATTTCAACTTCTAAGTCCACTTCTAGTTTCTTATTACTGTAAGTCAGTTCAGGAATGAACAGGATTTGTTTCACTTTCGACATGCATTGTTGAATTTGAGCGAGATAAATACAGGCTATTTTAAATACATCTAAAATATAATTACTTGTTGAAATAATTTTATACAGAGAATTAATCATCTATTACTTTTCAAATATGCCAGATTAGTTCTATGAGACTCAAAATATGAAGGTCGTTAATATGTGGAAATTTGCTACCGATTTTGGAAGTTCATTGATTATTTGCCTATACTATATACAATAAAGATTATTTTCAAAAAATCAATCTACTTTAAAAGTGAGTGAATGCTGTGAACTCATATCTAGACTACCTTAAAATTGGGATATGATAATAAAAAATTTAGATATGTGCAAAATACTTCAACAAATTAAAATGAAAACAGACTAGGTAAAATAACATGTAGAAAATTGTTTTATAATAAAATATATAAGTATCGACAGTTTTCTTTGGGTTAAATCATCACTTTATATTACGATGAAAATTGAATTTGTACTTTTCTTGTCTAAATAATATTTTACATTTGTATAGTATTTAACACTTTTCATATCATTTATCCTTTATCAGTTCTGTAATTTAGGTCCTCCTTTTATGTAGCCAACCTTATTTACAATCTTGGTCCTATCAATTTTTAATTTCAGCATTGGCAAGTTTATAAATCATGTTAAATGTGTATCTTTTTGTTATTGTGAAAATTAAATGAATTATTCTACTAAAGGGTTTAGCAAAGTAGGCACATGCATATTGTTTGCTGTTATTTTTATTTATATTATATAGATAAGAGATCTGAAGCTCCATGAGAGAAAAGAAATAGTTCAAATCAGTGTTTCTCACACTTTCAATTTTTTTTAAAAAAATTGATGTATAATACGTATACATATTTATGGATTAAATGTGATATTTTGATATATGCATATAATACGTAGTGATCATGTCAGGGTATTTGGGATAGCTATCACCTCAAACATTTATTATTTCTTACTATTGGGAATATTTCAAATATTATTTTCTAGCTATTTTGAAACACACAATATATTGTTGTTAACTTAGTTACTTTACGGTGCTGTTAAACACTAGAACTTATTCCTTCTCTCTGATTGTATGTTTGCATCCATTAACCAGACTCTCTTCATCATCTCGGAACCCCTACCCTTCTCAGCCTCGGGTAACCATCATTCTACTCTCTGCCTCCATGAGATTGACTTTTCTAGCCCCAACATATGAGTGAGAACATGCAATATCTGTCTTTCTGCGTAGCTTATTTCATTTAAATTAATGAGCTCCAGTTCCATTAATGTTGCTGCAAATTACAGAATTATATTCTTTTTAAGCCCTAATAGTATTTCTTTGTGTATATATACCACATTTCCTTTATCCATTTATCCATTGATGGACACTTCGATTGATCAGGACACTCAGGTTGACATGTAGGTTGATGTGATTGCAATGAAAAGTATAAAATACATTTTATTTCACTATCCAATATGTATATTCATATACTTTATATGTGAGACAAATGTTTCACAAAGCAAATTTACTTTTCCTGCATGCAATGAACTCAAGATTTTTTTTCTATTATATCACATTCTATCTGCTTATGTCCTGGTATTTTTTAAGTTGATCATGACCCAGTAAATTGACTTGCCAAAGTATAATTGACTCACAACAAACAGTTTGAAGAACACAACTGTATTCAGATAGGAAATTGCAGAGCTGGCCCTTGAACCCCTAGCTACTGTAGACTATGAGCACCTTGAGGGCAACAGCTATGTTTTAGCCCTGATTCTTCACAACACCAAGAATAGTGCTTTGAAGAGTTGAAGTTTAAAAGGCCTGCTGAGTCATTTGTAATTCTAAACCTTTCTGACATGAGAACTTTTTTGTGGGTGAATATAGCCTTTTTCACACATAAATGTTAATTTTTGTATTAGGCATAAAGGACAGGGAAGTTACATGAAAAGAAGTAAAAAGGACTACACTTGAGAAGCATTAATAAAACACATAAAAAGGTTTGGTTAGGAGGAAACATCCACAAAAAATAATTCTGCAAGAAAGTGAGGAACGGCTTTGAATCACAGACTAGACATGAATCGGCAATGTAACGTGGCAACAGATCAATACCCTTTTGTGCTTCAACACTTCACAAAACAAGGATGTTCCATTTGCTTTCTAACACTCCAGAGCTGATCAGTAAATGATTGGTGATCATGAACAATAATAAGGACTATGGTGATAAAGTGCATATCTGTGATAATCAGTGTTTAGCTGAGTTTACTAGGATGGGAGTATGAATCAATAAATTACTCAGCAATCCTAAAATAGCATTTCTATCCATATTTCCCTCTAATAAACTTTAATTGATATTGCTATAAAAGTTTATATGAACCCTCTATAAGGTTGACTCCATTTCTCTTCCTGTCCCTCAGTAACACTTTTTATTCTCCTTAAAACAAAAGAAAGAAATAAAATGAAAGGTATAAAAATCTAAAAAGTAATTGAAATAGCTTGGTATTATCGCAAGAAAAGAGTGCTTCAAATTCATATTGCTTGTTACAAGAAGTAAAATATCATAATCAAATACTGTATACATTATAATCACACACATGCACACACACAGATACAAGAAGCAAGAAGTCTGGATGATATAGAAATTTTGCAAGATGTTTTTCTATTATGATTTGTTTAAAATGTCTAACTTTTAAACAAATTACTTGAAGTACTTGAAATACACTTTTTAATGATTGAAATTCTCTGTTGTAAGTGAAAAAGTGGGTTAACCAATATAGATAGATACATAGATAGATAGATAGATAGATAGATAGATAGATAGATGATGGATAATATAGTAATCCATAAGAGTTGCATGTGTAGATGAAATATAAAAACTCTTTTTAACAATTTCACTCAATTTATGACCTCTTCTGAAATATTAAATAAAGCAGTTTTCCTATAACTTTTGACCCAGGCTGGGTGCAGTGGCTCGCACCTGTAATCCCAGCACTTTGGGAGGCCTAGGCAGGAGGATCACTTGAGCTCAGGAGTTCTAGACCAGCCTGGGCAACAGGGTGAAACCCTGTCTCTACAAAAAATACAAAAATTAGCTGGGCACTGCACTCCAGCCTAGGTGATGAGAGTGAAACCCTGTCTCCAAAAAACAAGCAAACAAACAAAAACTTTTGACCCAGCCACTAACTCACAGGGTCCCATGATCTCATAGAAAGTAGCTGAAAATAGTCAGACATTTAAAACTCACCAACCAACTTGTTTTAGTGCAATTTTCCAAGTGACATTAGATAGTTAGCACAAACACAGTCGTAATGGAAGTCCTCAATATCTACTTGCTTTATTTTCAAACTACTGAGAAATTAAGTCCGTTTCAATGAAAGTGTATTTCGGGCCATATTTCACAGCAATTGGTGAAACAATGAATTAAGAGGGTGCAATTTTATCAATGATTTAGTGAGAATATGAAGAATTTCCTCCATAGAAGACAAAGAAAATATTTGTCTTCATAAATTTTATTCTCTATTTAATCTAGCCTATTTTCAACAATATTTATTAAATGAGCTTTTCAACTGCAAGACCCATTAATAGAGTGGAGTAGAAGACAATATTAAAGTTCTTGGCCATAGTAAGGAAATCATTTATAATTTTTTTCCATTTAAAGAAATAAATGTATGTGTGTGAAAATCATTATGTATGAAGTATTTCTTACTGTAGGCCGTGCTCAAAATCTGTAAAATAATTCTGTATAGATAAAATAAAGAATGGCTGACAGTGATATCCTGAAATTTGAAACTTGAAATATTTGTATATTAAAAACACAAGAGGTTTACATTTCAGAATGCATGTTTTGGAATTTAATGTGTTGGAAGGAGAACCCACTGTAAGTTACAGTCTTTTTAAAATTGTTTTTATTGAATTCTAAAATGGATGTCCTAGTTTAACCCAATGTTTTATTAAAAAAGAATAAAAAGAAAGCTGAAAGTTTAAAGTTAGATTTCATACTGGTTCACATTTAAAGCCCTGAGCTTATTAGAACGTAGATTGACATATAATGACATACAAATAGGATGTAATGAATAATCAACAATATTCAACAAATGAAGAATGAAGACTGTAATCGATTCATAAAAATGTAGAACTGCGATGAAATTTCAACTATCCAATATTTTTCACTAGCAGTGAGATATGTACTTCACCATCCTTCAATATATTACTATATTTGAATACTGTTCAATTAAGTTTAACTTAAAGCTGCCTCCTTATAAGTTTGGCATAAAGTTTTCTCCACACATAGTGAACTGTAACCTAATTGGACGTGAATACAGACTGTAACCTACTTTTTGCCAATCATCATGTTTCAGCCAGTCAAAGGTGGCCAACTGCTCACACCATGTTCAAATAAGGCAAATGCCATGCCGAAACCAGTCCAGCTATTTTTGTACCTCACTTCAGTTTTCTGTAAGTCACTTTCCTTTTTCTGTCCATAAATTCTCTCCAAACACGTGGTAGCGCTGGAGTCTCTCTGAACCTATTTTGGTTCAGGGGAGTGCTCTACTTGTGAATCATTCTTTGCTTAATTAAACTCTGTTAAATTTAATTTGTATCAAGTTTTCCTTTTAATAATATCAATGTCTTAATATAATTGAGAAAACCTCAGTTAACATCATAGCATTTTTATTTTCATTCAACTTGTGTCTCGCGTGTCAATTCCCACCCCATCTAAGCTTGGAACTATATATTTAATTTATTGGCAGAGATTAATATTTCTAAGTTTTAACCTGCTTACAAGTGTAATTTAAAAACAATTAATGAGATTATTATTATTATTTTTGCTTGATGATTTGTTGAAGTTCCTTATAGATTCCAGATAGTAGGCCTGTGTCAGATGCATGGTTTGATAATATCTTCTCCCATTCTGTAGGTTATCTGTTTGCTCTGTCGATAGTTTATTTTGCTGTGCAGAAGCTCTTTAGTTTAATTAGGTCACACTTGCCTATTTTTGTTTTTCTTGCAATTGCTTTTGGGGACTTACCCAAAAATTCTTTACCAAGGTCAATGTCAAGAAGAATATTTCCTAGGTTGTGTTCTAGGCTTTTTATAGTTTGAGGTGTTATATTTAATTCTTTGACTCATTTTGAGTTAATTTTTGTGCACGATGAAAGGGAGGGTCCAGTTTCAATCTTCTGAATATGGCTAGCAGGTTATCCCAGCACCATTTATTGAATAGGGAGCCCTTTCACCATTGCTTGTTTTTCTCGACCTTGTTGAACATCAGATGGTTGCAGGTGTGAAGCTTTGTTTCTTTTTCTTCTTCTTTTTTTTTTTTTTTTTAGCTTTGTTTCTGGGCTATTCTGTTCCATTGGTTTACATGTCTGTTTTTGTACCAGTACCATGCTATTTTGGTTACTGTAGCCTTATATTGTAGTTTGAAGTTGGATAGTGTGATTCCTCCAGCTTTGTTCTTTTTCCTTAAGATTATTTTGGCTATTTGGGCTCATTTTCAGCTCCATAGGAATTTTAGAGTAGCTTTTGTTTTTTCTAATTCTGTGAAGAATGGCATTGGTAGTTTGATAGGAATAACACTGAATCTGTAAATTGCTTTGTGTAGTATGGCTATTTTTGATATTGATTCTTCCGATCCAAGAGCATGGCATGTTTTTTCATCTATTTTTACTGTCTCTGATTTATTTCAGCAGCGTTTTGTATTTCTCCTTGAACCCCACTAAAAATGAGCAAAAGACATGAACAAACACTTCTCAAAAGAAGACATACAAGCAGCCAAAAAAAAACATATGGAAACATGCTCTATATCACTAATCATTAGAGAAATACAATCAAAACCACAATGAGATACTATCTTACACTATTCAGAATGGCAATTATTAAAATGTCAAGAAACAAAAGATGTTGGTGAGGCTGTGGAGAAAAGTGAACACTTATACACTGTTGGTGGGAATGTAAATTGGCCCAGCCACTGTGGAAAGTAGTTGGGGGACTTCTCAAAGAATTTAAAATAGAGCTACCATTTGATGCAGCCATCCTGTTACTGGTTATGTACCAAAAGGAGAATAAATCATTCTACCAAAAAGACATTCACTGTTTATCACTGCACTATTCACAATAGCAAAGATATGGAGTCAACCCAGGTGCCTATCAGTGGAAGATTGGATAAAGAACATGTGGTACATATACAGCATGGAACTCTACACAGCCATAAAAAAGAATGAAATTATGTCCTTTGCAGCAACATAGATGCAACTGGAGGCCTTCATCTTAAACAAGTCAATGCAGGAACAGAAAACCAAATCCTGCACATTTTCACTTATAAGTGCCAGCTAAACATTGAACACACACACTCATAAACATGGGAACAATGAACAACAGCCACTACAGATTACTAGGGGGGAAAGGAAGGAGGGGGAATGGGTTGAAAAAACTACCTACTGAGTATCATGCTCATTACCTAGGTGACAGGATCCATACCTCAAACCTCAGTATCATGCAATATTCTCATGTAAAAAACCTACACATGTACCCCCTATATCTAAAAGTTGAAATAAAAAAAAATCCAAAAAATAAATAAATGAAAGCAATTAAATGAAATGATGGATATTGAAATTATCCTGATTTTATCATTATACACTCTCTACAGGTATTAAAATATCACATATACCCCCTAAATATGTAATACTCCTATTGATATATATCAATAAAAAAGCAATGAAAACCACTTTATGTTTTCCATTTCACCAGTTTTCATGGTAACTATAGTACAACTAGTCTGTAAGATACTTCCTAAGCTGAAAACTCTAGCCCAACCTCTAAATAGGTACTTACTATAGATATACTTTATTATCAGCAGAAAGCAAAAGCTTTTATAGTCAAACACATAGAAAATAAATGAAGGATCTCTAGAAACTAATCGTTTGTCCATTGTTAAATCTGTCAAGGCTAACTTAGAAAACAGAATCAACAGATGGTATTAATCTTTTGAGAATAAGATTTATGTAGACATTTAAGCATATGTTTAGTGCCTGTGTCTTATTAATTTTGAAGCTAAACTGTAGTTTAATAGAGGAGGTGGGCCAAACAAACCAACAAAAAAGCACAGAAATAACTTGTTGGGCACAGGCAAAAAGTGGCATTCTAATTTGACACACCAGCATGTATTTTTTTATTTAAATGCATTGTTGTGCCTTCAGTCCTATAAAGGAAATCTTTTGCATAGTGCTGTAAAGTGCAATTAAAGGGTATAATGAAATGCAACTATTTTGCATTTCTTATTCTGCCATTCCAGTGTCAGTAACATCCAGCATCTGTTGTAAAAATGGAAGATTAGAAGTGTAGTACCAATAACCTTGTGAAGAATAATATTAGCTCTTCTACATCCCCCTAGTATCACCCAGACCATTCTGGCACTAAAGAATCATCACTGAAAAAAAGGCAAAAGCCCCTCGAGGCGTATCACATGTGAGTCCACTGTTTTAATGGATGGAATGGGTTACTGCTTTTCCTCCTTTTCTTTCTACACATTGTACACTGAAATTGGCTTTTGTGTGGACTGATTTTGCTGCATAGCTTGATTAATCATGGACAGCAGGAAACAGTTGTTCAGAGCCCCCCACCCCTACCCCCATTGAGCTAGGGACAAAGAAAACACAGCATAATTCCTATTGAATGCCTGGACAGATAAGTGACAACCTGGAAATTGCAGGTTACTATTAATCAGAGAAAAAAAAATGTGGCATAACAGGAGATAGGGTGGCTCCCAAACTAGCACTAGCCCTAATACAGTGGAAATAAAACAGGAAGAACAGGGTTGGTATTGAAATATGGGTTCAAGTGAACAATTTATGATTTATTATCTTTAACTTATCACAGTCTATATTAATGTAATAATAGATATTTCACATACAGCATATTTTCTCCCAATATTTAGGTTGTCTTTTCACTTTCTTGATAGTGTCCTTTAATGCAAAAAAGTTATTTTTTAAATTTTATTGATGTTCAATTTATTTACTTTTTAAAGTTTGTTGTCGTTGCTTGAACTTTTCATATGTTATCTAACAATCTATTACCTAATTTAAAAAAATGAATTTTACCCATATGTTTTCTTCTAAGAGTTTTATAGTTTTACCACTTACATTTAGATTTTTCCTCTGTTTCAAATAAACTTTTATATATGGTGTGAGGAGACAGATGGTCTCACTTCAAATTTCTATATGTAGATACATAGTTGTCCCAGAAATATTTTTTGAAAAGACTATTTTCCCCATTAAATGATTTGGCACCCTTGCCAAATATCATATGACTGTAGATATAACTTAATTTCTGGACTTTCAACTCTATTTCATTAAGCTAAACGTCTATCCTTATTATAGTTACTAAACTGTTTTGATTACTATAGCTTTGTAGTAAGTTTTGAAATTTGGAATTGCAAGTCCTCTAATTTTGTTATTTTTCATGATGAATTTGGCTACCTGTGTCCCTTGGAATGCAATATAAATTTTAGGACAAGCTTGACAATTTTTTTCAAAAAAGGCCACTGTGATTTTGATAGTGATTGCATTGAATCTATAAATCACTTTGGAAAGTATTGTCATGTAAACAATATTAAGTCTTCTAATACATAAACGTGAAACGTCTTTTCATTTTTTAAATCTTCTTAGATTTCTTATAGTTAAATTTTATAGTTTCCAGTATGCAAGTTTTGTATTTCGTTGGTTAATTCTAAATATTTTATTCATTTTGATGTCATTGGCATTCGAATTATTTTCTTAGTTTCTTTTCAGATTGTTCCTTGCTAATGTACAGAAATATAACTGTTGTTTGCATATTAATTTTGTATCTTGTGCTACTCTGCTTAATTTACATATTAGCTCTAATAATTTTTTGTGAATTCTTTAGGGTTTTCTATGAAAATCAGGTGTTAATCTGAGGATAGCCTTAAACGGGACAAACCACTTCTCTTTTTCTGCTATCAAGAATCTCTCTGTCTTTTAACAGTTTGATTATAATGTGTCTTGGTGTGTATTTCTTTGTGTTTATCTTACTTGGAGACCATTGAGTGTCTTGGATGTGTTTATTTGTGTTTTTAACATCAAATTTGGTGAGTTTGGGGTCATTATTTCTTTAAAAATTCTTGCTTCCCTTTTCTCTCCCTCTTTTTTCATCTCAGACTCGTACTATCCCCATTTCTTTTATTCCTTAGTTCATGGTTTCCTTTTTCTTTTTAAGGATATGAAGACAGTTGATTTAAAGTATTTGTCTACTGAGTTCAATGTGTGAGCTTCCTTAGGGACAGTTTGCATTAATTTATTTTTTCCCGTCGTTTGGGCCATACTTTCGTGTGTGTGTGTATTTATTTAGGTTATTTTTTTGCATGTCCCATAATTTTGTTGTTGAAAACCGTAAATTTTCAATGTTATAACATAGTAATTATGGAGATCAGATTCTCTCCCTCTCCAGTGTTTGTTGTTGCTGCTTTTTGTGGTTGTTAGGTTGTGTTGTTGTTGTTCACTGACTTTTCCAAATGACTTTTGTTAAAAATACATTCTGTGTTGCCTGTGATCTCTGAAATCTCTCTCCTTTTAGCTTAGTGATAAGCTAGTGGCCTGATAAATTTCCTTGAACACCTGGAGCAAAGTAAATAAAATAAAGCACTTTCCTGGACTGTGCTAATTGGTTCTACGTTGAATAGCTTCTTTTACGCTTAGCTAGTCTGTTTACAACACTGCCTTATCTTTTGCTTCCTATTTTCCATGAGCCTAAAGATGAGCCAGATGGAAAAGCTTAGGATCTTATCAGGTCTTTTCTGAGCATACATCACGTGATGGGTATGTGTGGCTTCCTAGATTCAATGGTATAGGTAGGATATTTTAAAATTTTTATCTCCCACATTATCTCATTGCCCAGCTTATTTTCCCCAGGCTTTCAGTGTGTCTATTATTTGACAAAACTCTTATCTTTCGCCCAGATGGCAGGGACTTGTTTATTTGCCTTTTAATGTTTTCTAGGCATGCCCTCTGTGTAGCTGCTTTTCAACTCTGAGAAACGTCCTGGGTAGGTGAAACAAAGGCAAGCCTCTTACATCAATACTTCAGGAGGGAGCCTCCGGACAGATCCAAACAGACATAATTCCTTGAGAACAATTATATTCTAAATCTTCTAGATTTAGGGACCCATTCAAGAATGTGGGCTTCCACCTTCAAAATTGCCACCAAGCAAGAGAGAAGAATGGGAAAAAGGGTAATTAAAAACATCATAAAGTTCTTTATCAAGTTTCAATCACCTATGTTTTAATTGAGCATTTGCTTTGTTGTTGTAAGCACTTGACAATTTTCCAGAGCTCCAAGTTGATTTAGATTTTACTCCATTTTTTTTGGTGTTTCTGTAGAGGACTGGAACCTTGGCATTCCCTACTCTACTGTTTTCACTGATGCCACTCATTAATGGATAGGTTTTGATTGATTTATCTCTTTATCATGAGTTATGCTTTCCTGTTTCTTTGCATGCCTGATGAATTTTTATTGGATACCATACATTATGAATTTTATCTTACTGGGTACTGGATTTTTTGTATCTTTAGACATGTTCTTGAATTTTATTTTAGGACTCAATTATGATACTTGAAAATATTTTGATTCCTCCGGGTTTTGCTTTTAAGAAGTCTATGAACTGTAAATATGTAAAATTACCTTGTTTCAACTAAAAAATAAATAAGCAAATTTCTTGACATAAAAAACTCAAATTTTAAAAATAAAAATAAATAAGTAGCTAAATAAGTAAAAGGATGCTATTATTAAAAGGAAAAGAAGTCTAGATGAGTCCAGATCACTGCACAGTTTAGGGTTAAATATTCCCCACTGTTATGGGCTGAATTATGTCACCTCCCCACCCCCTTTCATATGTTGAAGCCTGTCTCAGCTTGGTCAGGCTGATATAACAAAATATCATAAGCCAGGTGGCTTGTAAACGGCAGAAATTTAGTTCTTAAAGTTCTGAAAGCTGAGACGTCCAAGATTAAGGTGCCAGCCGATCTACCATCTGGTGAAGGCCCACTTCCTGGCTCATAAACAAAAGTCTTCTTGCTGTGTCTACACATGGTGGATGGGGTAAGAGAGCTCTTTGGGACCCCTTCTATAAGGGAGTTAATTTCATTCATTAGGGCTCCACCTTCATGACCTAGTCACCTCCCAAAGGGTAAATTTCCAAACACTATCACATTGGGGATTAAATTTCAACATATGAATTTGATGGGGCTCAAAAATATTCAGTCTATAGAAAAGCTCTAATCCTCAATGGCCCTATAGTTGAAGATAGGGCCTTTAGGGAGGTAATTAAGGTTAAATGAGGACCTAAGGGTGGAGAGATCATCCAATAAAATTAGTGGAAAAGACAGAAAAAGAAAGAAGAAGAAGAAGGAGGAGGAGGAAAGAAGAAGAAAAAGAAGAAGAGGAAGAAGAAGAAGGAGAAGGAGGAGGAGGAGGAAAGAAGAAGAAGAATAAGAAGGAGGAGGAGGAGGAGGAAGAAAAAATAAGAAGGAGAAGAGTCACCAGAGATCTCTCTCTCTTCATGCAACTAAAGAGGCAAGGCCAGGTGAGGACACAGTGAGAAGGTGGCCATCTACCAGCCAGGAAGAAAGCCCTCACCAATAACCAAGTTTGCTGGCACCTTGATCATGGAATTGTATCCTCCAGACTGTGAGAAATTAAATGTCTCTTGTTTAAGCCACCCAGTCTGTGAATTTTTTTATGGTTGCCCTAGCATAAACCCACATTGATATAAGACACCTTTGGGTACTCTCTCAATATCCCATGAGTCATGGTGTTTTTCTATGTTGCTTATAGGAAAATGCAGTATTAAATAACTAATGGATACTAGGCTTAATACCTGGGTGATGGAATAATCTGTACAACAAAACCCCATGACAAACATTTACCTATGTAATGAACTTGCACATCTTGCACATGCACCCCTGAACTTAAAATAAAAGTTAAAAAGAAAATGGAAAAGGCACTATTCCAAGCCCTATTTGAGAAACAGTTTCTGTTTCTGTCAATACTGTTGGTGGTTTTTTTCTGAATCTCCAATTGTTTCCTCACACATATGTGCTAATCAGTACTCAGCTGAATACTTGAGTGTTCACTTGAGAATTCTTGTCTCAAATGAATACTGCAAATCTCTGGAGTTCTCTCTTACGAAGCTCCTCTCTTCTCTCTTACTCTGCACTGTGAACTATAGCTGCCTTCGTCTTGCCACTTTTCTGTTCACCTCAGCCAGTATGCTGAGCTCAGCCTGCATGCTGCCTCCATACACTGTGTTCATGAAACTCTTTTAAGGCAATAATCTGGGGTAATCACGGCTTACTGTGTTTGAGTCCTATTTCAGTGGGATCGATGTCTTTTTTTGCCTGATAATCAGTGTTGTGAAAATTGTCAGTTTATATAGTTTTCCATTTTGTATGTGCTTCAGAGAAGAAAGTAAAGCTGATCCCTGATAGTCCTTGGTTAAAAGTGGAAGTTCCTGCCATTTATTATCAACTTGATCTTAAGCAGTGATTCTCTGTTTCCACATATATTAAATAGGAGTAATGACTTCACAGGAGTATTGTAAACATTAAATATTATATTATACTTGTCAGTAGACGACCATAGTGAGAGAAAAATAAAATTTGACTCTGGAAAACATAGGTAAAATCACCAGAGATTCTAAATATTGAGATAAAAAGGAAACTAGAGATTAACTTAGTTATGGAAAATAATTTCAAATATAGTAGACCATTCTTGAAATATCTGTGACTACCTATGGTTTTGTAAAGAAAACATATATTGGCAATATATATTTTTCAATAGAGAACATACATTTTTCTTTTATTACAGTAAAAAAAAAAAAAAAGGGTCTCATTTTTGTTGTGGAGTGGCTGTTCCTTGTCAAGACTTTTAGTGATGCTGTAAACACATTCGTTGCCAGGTCTCTTTAGGAAGGAAGTAGTTCAGTGTTAGACTGATTATTTAAGTGACATTGGTTGTTCCAAGTTGATTCCTCCCACAGTTATTTTTCAGGTCTATTTCTACTTGTGATTAGGGAGTGACAGCTTATGTAATGTTCATTTGAGGCAGAGGTGAGGTTCCTTTCTTGTTTATGTCCCCAGGTGAAGTCCTTCTTTCTGACAAATAAAGACCTGGAACAAGAATCTGATTGTTTCTACTGTTCAATCTTACTTCAAACTTTAGTTCTCTGCTAGAATTTATGTTCTGTATAAGAGAGAAAGCACTATTTAACCAGACCCAACAGAATAATTCTCATGTAGGAAAATACTCTCTACTGGCTTCACTTCCATTGTTCCATATTGCCTTAAGCTTCATTTTCCATCATGGGCTTGGAAAACTTGCTGCTGACAAAGAATGAAAAAGTAATGCTAGTCTCGGAAAAGTTATCTAATTTTTGTTACCTTTATGACAGTTGCATTTCTATCCTTGTCACACGACTCTATTTCTCTTCCAACATGTCCCATATTTTAAACTCAGTCTAGGACTAACTTGATGAAGCTATTAGTATCAAGGATTTGGAATCCAAGTTTCTGTCCAGATTTTACACATGGGTTATTCCCACCTATGTTGACTCATAAAACCTCACAGTTACAGGGGATTGTAGAAGCTGCTTGCTGCATTGTCTGCTCTTGTAGGAATCTCTTGCACAAATTATTTCATTCATTGTAACTCAGTCATTACGTTAGTCATATGTTATTTTAGTAAGAAATATTTTTCACCCTTACTAAGTGATAGGCCATATGCAAAGTGATGGAGATAAATCAGTGAGCAAAAACCGGGAGTGTTTCAACTTCAGCGTCAAAATGCCCGGTGATGCCTATTCACCATGCCAAACAGCACTATCTCTCATTTTTCAATTCAAATTTTGAAATAAGTTTTATGTAAGTATAGCTAAAATGTCTCTTTTTAGAATTTCAACCATCATCTTCCACCACCATCCCTAGTGCTAGCCTCTGGAGAATAATTCTCCTTATTTTCTCAGTAGGCAATACTTTTATTTAACTATAATTATACCTTTTAGTGTCATGACACTTGGATCCTCTAAAAGCGGCCCAAGAGGCAAAGCTGGAATCATGCAGCAGGACAGTCAGAAATTCGGCGGAAGATATAAATAACACTGTAACAGCATCATTTTCTAATGTATGGAGAGTTTGTTAGTACAGCTGTTAAATAAAATGAGATGGCTTGGGATTAAAGTTATACTGCTCTATTTGTCTCCAGGAATTAGAATCTCCATGAATCGAATCCCTATGCTTCTGAAAAAAAAAAAACAACAAAAAAAAAAAACAATGTTTTTTCAACTTATTACCACCCAGCCTACTTTTACAAATATTTTATTTTGAAATAATTATAGATACACTGGAAGTTTTAAAGAAGTATACTCTAATGTTAATATCTTGCATAAATATAGTACAATATAAAACCCAGAAAATTTACAATTTACAGAACTGATTTAGATTTCATCAGTTTTATTACATACACACTTACAATTACTTGACATACTTTTATCTTCATAATGATTCTGTAAGGTAGGTTTTTATAATACCATTATACATGTGAGAGAACTGAAGCTCAGAGGCTTATTAACTTTGCTATGATCAATTAAGCCTATGATTTGCCTGCATCAAAAGTATGTATTCTTTCCTCTAAGGGATTAGTTTTACACTGAGAGATTCAAACTTTTTAATCTCACTTTTGTTCTTAGGTTTCTATCTCTATTTCTTGACTCTTATGTCTTTTTTGTTTTTCTTTTCATGTGTCTAACTCTGCGCCTCACTCTCTTAAATCTGTTTTATTCTTCCTTTCTTCAAACCCTTAGATCCTCACTTCTTTCTCGACCTTTGTAAAATAGCAATAGAAACATGAACTTCTTCATTGTCTCTAAGGAAATCATTGGCACATCCTTTAAATCACTTCCCTTTCCTCCTTCTCTAGGTATTACTTCCCTTTCCTCCTTCTCTAGACTCTTTCTTATTCTCACAGGAACTTGCTCCAGATTATTATAACTTTCCTTGTTCCTATTTGTTTCTGAGCAACAACTCTTTACCATGTTGCAAGATAAAATCTTGTCATTATGTGAAACTCTCTTTGTTAACACTTAACCCTAGAATAATTTTCTCTTCCATTTAATATAATTTCAAAATACTCCTTGAGGCAACCTTTAATATTATATGAGTTTATGTATTTTTTGTTAACCTAATATTTTGATTTATATATGCAACTTTGTTTTTAAAACACTTATGAATTTTGAGTTTTCATTTTATATAAAAATTAAACTACTTAAGATTAAAAAGGAAAGTGTGAATTCAGCCAGTGACTGTTTCATGTAATCCACTGTGGCTTTTCTAAAATAACAGTTAGAGGACATAAAACTATCCTACAGATCTTTATAATTTCTACTCTTAGAAATGAAATAGATATTTTACATTTAATTTTTTCATGTCAATATTTGTGGCCAGGTCACTATAGAATGATGCAACATTAAGATAACTTTGGGAAGTGGCTTTATTCATTTTATTTATTTATATTTTTATTTTTTGAGACACGGTATCACTCGTCTCCCAGGATGAAGTGCAGTGGCTCGATCTTGGCTCACTGGAGCCTCAACCTTCCAGGCTCAAGCAATCCTTGCACCTCAGCCTCCCGAGTAGCTGAGACTATCAGCGTGTCACCACACTCGGCTAATTTTTGTATTTTTTGTAGAGATAGGGTTTTGCCATGTTGCCCAGGCTGATCTCAAATTCCTGATCACAAAGGATCCACCTACCTCAGCCTCACAAAATGCTGGAATTACAGGCACACGCCATCATGGCAGGCCAGGAAGTGGCTTTAGGAAGTATCTTTATAGTGATTCATGAACTTAGGAAATATTTCACCATAGTCAGTGGCAGACTAGGAATATTAGTTAAAAATTGAAATGCCAATATATGCCCATTTTTGCAGACAATAAACACTCAGATAGATCATTGACAAAATGTGTAAGCCAGACGCTTCAGAGCATTAAGTTACAAAATGTCCAAAAGATAGTTTTTCATCATCCATTGACATTATCTTAGCATATGAGAATTGGGAGAATTGTAGAATAATTAGCATATCAGGGCATTCCTCCCACCATATATGTGGCATTGTTTTACATATGTGTGCTGGAAATTTACCTTTTCATATCCAATGGTAGTTTCTGTTTCTCGTATCTGTTGTTTCAACATCTATTTTTAAATTTGTCTATACATGTAACCTTATCATTAAAGACCTTTTTTTAAAAATGAGGCAAAAAGTTTTGGCATATTTTAAGAATCAATTGATTTTGTGACTGTAGGGATGATCAAACACTTAAAGATACAATGTTTCACTCTGTTTCTTTAAAAATAAGAAACACATTGGTAATAAAAAAATTAACAATTTAAAATTTAGCATAGAGATACTACATGCCCTGCATTCGGGTTCAGAAACCCAAAGTTTACAAGCACACATATTTTAAGAATTAACTTATCAGCTATTAACTTGAAAGAGATCCAGTGGTTTTATTTGTATGAAAATAGAACAGTGTGATGTTTGCCAAAAAAGTGATATAAACTGCATAAATATAAATAGCATCAAAAACAAGGTTTGTAAGTATTACATAGTCTGCTAGACCATATGTTCTACAATATAGTCATGGTTTCCTGAGCTTTAGATATAAATCTCCCTTTTCGTCTGACTAATGTTCATGTAGAGATTTATTTGGTCCATCAAACATTACTGGATCAGAGTATATCACCTTTTAAATCTCTGATGTCTTCCTACATTGACATCAATATTCATCTATTCATATTACCTTGAAAATCACAATTATTTTTTAAAGGTTTTCCTCTCTCAGAAGGCCCTAACTTCTTTCTCATAACCTTTCAGTAAGCAAACATGTTGATTTTACTCTTCTAGTATCTATTGCATCTAACCCATCAACTTTCATCCACAAATTTCATAGTATAGTGCAAAGAGCACTAAATTAGAAATCAGAAGAGTAGAATTTACTGTGATTCTTTAAGTGTATCTCCAAATCTACCCACTATTTTTAGGATATTTTGGAGATATGCATTATGCTATGATTTGAGTGTTGTTCCCCTTCAAAACTCATCTTGAAACTTAATTGCCATTGTAACAGTATTAAGAGGTGGTACCTTTGAGAAATTATTAGACCATAAGGGCACTACCCTGATAAATGAGTTTAATATATTAATAAAAGGACTTTCGTGAGTGGGCTCTCTCTCTTGCTCTTCTGCCTTCCACCATGGAATGACACAGCAAGACCTTTCCCAGATGCTAGCCTCTAAATCTTGGATTTTCCAGTCTTCAGAACTGTGAAAAATAAATTTCTGTTCATTATAAATTACCCAGTCTGTGGTATTCTGTAAGAGCAGCACAAACCAGAATAAGATACATTATATCCATAGCTCTCAGCAAAATATATTGCCCACAGGCTTCAGTGATTATGGGATTACACTGAGTTTCAATTTGAAAGGGTTATTGGAAAACCAGAAATGGGGTATTAGAATGCCTTATTAACTTGTCTTTTTATCCCTACATTCACTTTTCAGAAGAGTCTGTTAACTTCAAATTCAACAAGATCAAAATCCAACACTTTACCTTCCCTGAAAAAGACTATTTTTCCTACTAATTTTTCTTGTCTTGAAAAAATGTCTCACCATGTACTCAATATTTCAAGCTTAGGATCATGTCATATCCATAAGGTAAGGACTGACATAAAACCTCATCTCTTTTCCAATTATCAGTTAATTCTTTATAAAGACAACTAAAAACATGTCCGTATTACCTTATCTCTGTTTCGAATGCTCTAATTCACACTCATCAACTTTTTTGCAGTAACTTACTCTCTGATATGCTTACTCCAGTTTACCTCCAGTGCAATCAATTTTCCACATAGTCACCAGGATCATCCCTTGAAACTATAGATTTAATCGGTTTTTGTTTTCTGGCTGCAAACACCATAGCCTACATTTGTGATAGGACTGTACAATTCATTCATACTACAGTTACATGTGCCAAGTAAACAAAGATGGATTATTTCATCAAAAATTGATCTGAGAACAATGGTGAAAGAGGTTTTTCATATTAACCACACAACTGATAACTACTAGAAAACTTTAGACACTTTCTTTTTAATTTTGAAGAGAGTAGAAAGCTAGTAAAGTATAAGAATCTTCAGATCATTGTTCACATGACAAAGAAACCAAGACAAGTGAGCATAGTATATGGTGTCACTTTTCTCCTCAAGGAATTTTCTTTTTATTTTTCAACTGTACTACTTTTATTGACTTAATATTTGTGTTAATTTGACTTTAATTATTGAGATATTGAGAATATATAACCAGCAATATATTTTAATTTCAATGGATAAATTTGTTTTCAACTTTAATGGACAAATAGAAATTTTGTTTATGGTATATAATGTGATTTTTAAATTTCCATTTATAGATACAGGAGGTACATGTGCAGATTTGTTACACAGGAATATTGCATGATGCTCAGGTTTGGAATACAGATTCCTATCCCACAGGTAGTGAGGATAGTACCTAATAGGTAGTTTTTTAACTAACACCTCCTCCACTCTCTAGTAATCCACAGTGTCTATTGTTTCCGTATTTATGTCCATGTGTGCTCAATATCTAGCTCCCACTTATAAGTGACAAAATGCATTATTTGATCTTCTGTTTTTGCATTAATTTGCTTAAGATTATGGCCTGCAGTTTCATCCATGTTGCTGCAAAAGATATGATTTCACTTTTAATAGCTGCATTGTATTCCATCGTATATATGTACCACATGTTCTTTATTCAGTCTACCATTGATAAGCACCTGGGTTGATATCATGGCTTTGCTATTGTGAATAGTGTATTGATGAACATGTGAGTTTATGTGGGTTTCTTTTGGAGAATAATTTATTTTCTTTTGGGTATATACCCAGTACTTGGATTGCTGGATCAAATGGTAGCTCTGTTTTAAGTTCTTCGAGAAATGTCCAGACTGCTTTCCACAGTGGCTGAACTAATTTACATCCCCATCAACAGTATGTAAGTGTTCCCTTTTCTCCACAGCCTTGCCAGTATTTGCTGTTTTTTGACTTTTTAATAATCACCTGTCTTCTTCTGACTGAAAATTTAAGATAGCTATGACTTAAGTGGTCAGGAATTTAAAAGACAAGGAAGAAAATGACTCTACACTATAAGATCCGAAGGATGTTATGAACTACAAAATAATAATTAAAATCAAGACCTTCAATATGGTTTAATAGCAGATTAGGAAATGTTGAATAGAGGATTAATAAACTGGAAGATAGAGCAGAGGAAAGTATCTGTAGAGGAACAGAGAGAAAGGGGTTGGAAATATTTTTAAAAGGCACAGGGAGCAATGAAATGTTCTATTTTATAATTAATTGGATTCCAAGAGGCGATGAGAAAGAAGATAGACCAGAAGGAGTAATTGAAGAGATACAGTAGAACCCCCCTTATCAGTGGTTTTGCCTTCTTTAGTTTCCATTACCCACCATCCACCACAATGTGATAATATTAAATTCAAAATTCAAAAAATAAACAACTTATAATATTTGAATCACATGTCATTCTGAGGAACATGATAAAATCTCTTGCCATCCCACCTAGGATACGAATAATTTCTTTGTCCATTGTATGTACATTATATAAGCTACCTGCCTGTTAGTCACTTAGTAGCCTTATCAGTTATCAGATCAAAAAAATATATAGGCTTTGAAACTATCTGCAGTTTCAGACATCCACTCAGGGTCTTGAAATGTATCTTCCATAGATAAAGAAGAACTACTGTACTTGGTAATAGAAAATACATAAACTGGAAAGTAGAGCAGAAAAATATCTATAAGAGGAACACAATACTGCAAAACTGAAAATGCCATCAAATCCATTGATTCAACAAGTACTGTTACACCTAAGCAGGAATAATGAAAAGGTCACATCAAGCCATATGAGAGTTGAACTGCTGGAATCTAAAGACAGAGAAAAGTTTAAGAACTCATAGAGTAAACAGGACACCTTATGTTAATAGAGACATCAATTACTCTTTTAAGTAAAGCTCATATTTTCTGGTAATTTCTACTGTAGCCTCTGCTTCTCTCCAAGGGGGTGTGTAAATAAGTATATGGGACAGGATGGGCTTCATGTGGCTCATGTATACACAGATTAACTGGCCCTCACATCCTCATATTATCTTCTGGCTTCTCTGGGTTTAGTGACATCTTATGTCTTTGTGAACATTGTTTACTCAAGTTGGAGGATGATAAAAGTTATGGTGGTATACATTTTAAGTTAACTATAGCTCAGTTGTACTATATGCCTACCTTGTTTTCATTTTGGACTTCTGAATTTCTCCTATGGCTTCCATCTGGGCTCATGTACGATTTTTTAAATCTCTATTTCTATTCTAAATATTCTTTTTTTTATTTTTTATTTTTTATTATTATACTTTTAGTTTTAGGGTACATGTGCACATTGTGCAGGTTAGTTACATATGTATACATGTGCCATGCTGGTGTGCTGCACCCACTAACTCGTCATCTAGCATTAGGTATATCTCCCACTGCTATCCCTCCCCCCTCCCCCCCACCCCACAACAGTCCCCAGAGTGTGATGTTCCCCTTCCTGTGTCCATGTGATCTCATTGTTCAATTCCCACCTATGAGTGAGAATATGCGGTGTTTGGTTTTTTGTTCTTGCGATAGTTTACTGAGAATGATGATTTCCAATTTCATCCATGTCCCTACAAAGGACATGAACTCATCCTTTTTTTATGGCTGCATAGTATTCCATGGTGTGTATGTGCCACATTTTCTTAATCCAGTCTAAACTCTTCCATGCTCAAATCCACTCATACAATCAAGTCAATGCCTCTAACCTAGGAAAAACACCACGCATGAAGTCATGCATTCTTCAAAATAAAATTTATTTTGCACAGGATAGACTAAAAAAAATCCTACATGTTCTTTCAAAACTTGATTGCAGATTGTATTGGTAGTCACCACCTCAATTATACCCCATATGTTAAATACATTGAACTATTCCCTCCTTCCTGAAAACTAGAACTAATTTTATGGCTCCAAGCTTGGTTTATACTGTATCCTCTTCCTATAACGTCATTCTCCAGTTTTCTTTCTGAAAACCTTACTTCAATAGCATGATCTATCTGTAGTTAACACTTGATAATTTCAGACAGAAAAGTCTTTCCTACATGTTTTTCTAGTTTTTTGAATATAATACTAATTGAGTAACTGTCACATGGTATTAAACTTTTCTCATGGATTCTCTAAACTGTTTGTCTTTGGGAGAAAGTGTGCTTTATTTTTTGTGTCTTCATTATATAAAACACTATTAGACCCAAATTAATGCTTCATGAATGTCTATCAACTTTTAAATAGTGATAAGAAACCTCTGCTGTTTGGTTTCCCATAGTTTTTGTATTGTACTATAACTGAATTTAGTCAGATTTAAACACTTATGCATTGCAACAAATTTCAATGTGTTTAAAAATTGAAATTGTTAAATTTGCAGTGTATTTATCTGAATTTGTTTATATAGGGATGAATTTAAGAAATTCAGTAATGTTGGTAGCAATCAGATATGATAAGAAAATGCAACTGTTTAAATTAATGGAAAATGTGGACATTTCTTCAAAAGAATCACTCAACACTAACGTTTATTAATAAGGCAATGCATAAGTTATTATAGAAATGAAATAGTAGGAGACAGATTCTTATTTTTCAGTAACGTCTTATTATTAGGTTTCTGTCTTTCATGGGATCAGAAAATTCTAGGTAATTATGCTCCTTTTATCTTTCTAAATTTTTTTTCTGAAATGTGAATTACTTAGCTGTTGTCATGGGAATGTGGCTAAGAGGAAATGAACTGCATAGTAACATTATTGTTATTTGCTGCCACTAATACGTTCATAAAAATAGGGAAACACATGAAGTCTCTGAAGGACAAGCCTCTCACTAGAAATTTTTCTATTTATGCTTTCGAAAAATCTATCCCCAACAAAGTTGAAAACGATAACAACAACAACAAAGAGTCGGGTAAAACAATAGCTTTACCAGTATGCACCATAATATCATATCAGAACTACAAATGGGAATTGGAAGCACATTACATATGCAAGAAAAGTATGTATGTACTTATAAAGATTTCCATAAAATATTGCAGCACAAAAAGGCATTGTTAATTTATCTTCACATACTGTCATATATTATTTCAGAATTATTTTTAAGTGCTTCCAACTTAATAAAATATGCCATTTTTTCTATTCTTCTTCACTATTACTTAATTTCTTTATGATATTAACAAAAAATTGAGTTACCTACTTAATTAGCCATAACAATATTTCAGGAATTTGAGAGAACGTTTCTGGAGAAGTAGAACTACAAATGATGATTTAGAAACGCAAGCAAGAATGGCAAGATAAATTTTAGTACTGCATGCACACATTCTTATATACGCACCCTTATATTTATCTTTTATTGTGTACCTATCTCTGTATACATGAGGAATTTAAAACAGAATATTAAATTACATAGTATATATGTATACTAAGGATTTAAAGGGCACATATTAGATGGGCCCAGGAGTCCCTTTTCGTCCAAAGACTAATGAGGTCCCACTTTAGCCTCTTGGATGTCTGCCACAACCCCTTCTCAGTTTCAGGAATATTTGAATATCCACAATTCTGACAAATGCAACAACTCTAATAACTTCTAAGCTATGGTACATTTGTATTTAGAGATTTTGCATAAACACCTCTGTAGACATTCACTTAGTTTGCTAAAACAAAGAAACAACTACAGAAAGCAAGATACCATTTTAAAAACGCTAGCTTGTCTCCATTTAGACCTTTGAGTTCATCTTTCTCTACTCTACTATATTCCCTTTGAAGTTGAGTTGTGTGAATTCTATTATCTAGGTTCCTTTGCCATTGTATTTCTTTTTGAGATTGCAGTGGCAAAAGATCAGAAGATGGAAGAGAGAGAGCTTAAGGTATTCAGTCCCCTTTGTTACTTTCTTAAAAGGCCTTGGTGAATGTACTCTCGAGGCCTTGTACTCCTTTATCTGTGCTTCCAGCTCTTAGCAAGCAGTCAATTACCCACAATTACAAACTCTACAGGTTCTGATAAAAGTAAATTTATGTTGTCCCTTCTGGCTGACAGGTCGTATAAAAATTGAGATAAACTTTTCCTTCCACAAGATACCACACTAGTCCTTTACATTGATGACACTATGCTGACTGGAAGTAATAAGAACTAAGTAGCAGCCACTGTAGACTGATTGGGAAGATATTTGTGTGTCAGACCGTAGGAAGCAAATCTGACAAAATTCTGGGGTCTTTCACCTCAGTGAAATGTCTAGGGGTCCAGTGGTGTAAGGCATGTAGAAATATCCCTTCTAAGGTGAAGGATAAGTTGTTGTATCTAGCCCTTTCTACCACCAAAAAAGAGCCATGAAGTCCATTGAACCTCTTTGGATTCTAGAGGCATGATACTCCTCATTTGGGTGTGTTACTCTAGCCCATTTACTGACTCAAAAAGCTGTTAGTTTTGAAGGAATCTCAGAATGACAGAGGCTCTGTAACAGGTCCAGGTTTCTCTGCAAGCTGCTCTGCCAATTGTGCCCTATGATTCAGCAGATCCAATGGTGTTTGAATTGTTAGTAGCCTATAGGAATGCTGTTTGTACCTTTAGGCAGACCTGCATAGGTGAATCACAGTTCAGACCCTTAGTATTTTGAAGGAAGGCCCTGAAATCCTCTGTATGTAACTAACCTCCTTTTAAAAATCAGCTTTTTGCTTGCTACTGGGCCTTAGCAGAGACTGAACACTTAGCCATGGGTGACCAAGTTACCTCGTGACCTGAGGTAAACATCATGAACTGGGTATTATCTGATCTATCAAACCATGAAGTTGAGTGTGCACAGTAGTGCTCTATCACGAACTGAATGTGGTATATAGAAGATTGAGCCCAAACTGGCCCTGAAAGCACAGGTTGCATGAAGTGGTACAAATGCCCATGGTCTCCACTCATAATACACTACCTCCTATTTCCCAGCCTGCATCTATGGCCTCATGGGGAGTTTCCTATGATCAGTTGACAGAAGAAGCAAAGGCTTGGACCTGGTTTACAGATGATTCTGCATGATATGCAGGTACCATTCAAAAGTGGATAGTAGCAGCACTACAGTCTCTTTCTGGGACATCCCTGAAGGACAGTGGTGAAAAAAAATTTCTCCCAGTGGGCAAAACTTTGAGCATCCACTGGTTGTTCACTTTGCTTGGAAGGAGAAATGTGATTATGTACCATTTCATGGGTTGTGGCCAATGGTTTGCTGGACAGTCAGGAACTTGAAAGGAACTTGATTGGAAAACCGGTGACAGGGAAATTTGGGGAAGATGTATGCAGATAGAACTTTCTGAAGGAGCAAAAACCATAAAGATATTTGTGTCCCACATGAATACTGACCAAAGACCAACCTCATCAGAAGAAGATATCAATAATTAAGTGGATTGAATAACACATTTGTGGATACCAGCCAGCCTCCTTCCCAGATCACTCCCGTCATCACCCAATGGGCATATGAACTAAGTGTCCATGATCTCAGGGACAGAGGTTATTCATGGACTTTGAAAATGTGGATTTCTACTCGTCAAGGCTGAAATGGCTACAGCCACTGCTCGGTGCCCAATCTGCTACCAACAGAGATCAACACTGATTCTCCCATAGTGGACCATTCCCTGGGTTAGTCAGCCAGCCAATGTGGCAGGATAATTACATTGGACCACTTCCATTATGGAAGGGTTTCACAAAGGAAAATTTATTACATCAACATAGTCATCCTCATACCACCAATAAGAGAGTCTTCTGCACCCATATCTTGGAATCCATTTGACAGTTGCCTCCTAAACTAAAGTACTGATTTTACTCTCTCATTCATCCTCTAATTTTTCTCCTTCTATTTATTATTATAGGAATTTCCTTGACCAAATGCTTCATCAATAGAATCTCCCAATAACTATCAATCAAACTGCATGTCCAACAGAGGGTACAACTGCTCCTTCAGGAATGATATCACCAAGAAAAATCTGACTATGATGAATATTTCACTCAGTCATTCCCTACTTAGGATTTCCCTAATCCCTGAGTTTTTCAAAAACAATGTCTCTGAGCCTTTCTTAAACATGAAAAGGAATTTACAAGGCTGATCAAAGGCTGTGTTTCACATAAATTCAAGCTGGCTTGACAAAGGCAGTTGACCGTAAACTTTTTACATGAACTTTTTGCACTGTATATTAGTTGCTCCATTTCAGGCCCAAACTCCCTCCCATGCACCTCAACCTTCCCCTTATTACAATATTTGATACAGTTTGTTAAATTTCAAGGCATCATCCTAGCAGTTTTGGCAGCATACCCTTCTTTCCGCACTCATGGTCTCTGTATATAAAAGCTGTGCTCATGTACCCTTTACTTGAGACTTTTATGGCCTAGGCTTTGAACATCTCCCTATTGCAATAGTCCTCCTGAGTAAAGTATTTTATTATTAACATCTGGACTCATATGTTGATTTTGACAACAGATAATCTGCCTTAATCTGTAAAGACATTTTTTGCTCCCCAATTTAAATGCATTCTCAAATGCCTATTAATAATACAGTATGCATTTTTTTACAATCCAACTAAACTTTGTCCAGCTTTCAATCAGTTCTGAATCCAATACATGATTGCTGCTTTCTAGACTACCTTAGACCCGAGTGTGTCATAAAATCTGATAAGGCAGTGCCTGATACTTTCCTAGTATCTTGGAATATAAATGCAAATTGTAAGCAGTTTACAATTATGACTTCTATCCAGAAAAGCAAGAATAATTTATCCAATTTAGGTGTCATAATGAGAGCCAGCTAGAACTTGTGCTATGAGGGAATATTTATCACACTTTACATTAAAACTACTCAAAGTGAAAATTAAAACAAAAATAATTCTATTTTGAAAACTAAATGCACCTGTCAAAGAAACCTATACAATATAACTTACTCCTAAATAATTAGTTTTTATTGATAAATAAAGGCATACAACTATACTTGTATGACTCTTAAAATTTTATTAGATTATTCATATTTTCTGATTTTTTTCTCCTGGGTTTTTTCTTTGCACATTTTCTATGTTACTGATAATTAACTTAGGCATCAATATAGCTACAAGTTTCCAGGGAGATAGTCGTCATGTAATAAGACAGAAATAAATGTTGATTAGTCATACAAAAATTCTTTATTTCTTTATATAATAAGTGCTAAGGAACCTTGATTTCATTAGACGCACTATTATGAAAAAAAGAGATAATTATAATCTCATGGGCAATAAAAAAATAAAGATGTAAACTATTATTACTCCTCTTATTAAAGTGACAAGCGATGGTTTTTTAAGAAACCTATCAGGCCTTTGTTTAAAAAAGACAATATAGCTCTTGAAAATAAAGTAGCTCTGAAGATTCTTAAACATGTCTTTTTCTGTACATGTTCTTTCATTTCTCTTGACTAAATATATAGGAGTAGAATTGCTTGATCATATACCAGGTGTATGTTTAACCTTATGACAAACCGTGGAACTGATTTTCAAATTTTATACTCCAACCAACAATATATAAGAGTTCAGTTTGCACTAAATCCTTGACAACATTTGGTGGTGTCAGTCATATTTCAGTCATTTTATTAAAGCCATCCTAGTGTGTACTTAGTAGAAAATTCTGTTGAGCATGTTAGACGGTGTCTGTCTACAAGCTAGCTTTTCTAATGCCAGGTTCTATAGGTTAAACATTAGCTATAAGTTTAAGATTTTTAAAAAATGTAGATATAGGAGGGGCGTGGAACAAGATGGTGGAAAAGAAGGCTCCACCAATTCCAACTAGCAAGGACACCAGCTTAACAACTAACTACACACAGAAAAATATCTCCTTCATAAGAATAAAAAGTCAAGTTAGCGCTCATAGTACCTGCTTCTAACTTTGTATCATTGAAAAAGGCACTGAAGAGATAGGAAAAACAAGTCGTGAATTGTGGACACCACCCTTCACTCACTCGCCTGCAGCTGTGGCATGGTACAGAGAGGGCTTCCGTGTGCTGGAGGAGGAAGAGTACAATCCTAAGGCATTCCTAGGCTTAGGAAAAAATCAAATAATCCCATCAAAAAATGGGAAAAATATTTGAACAAACATTTCCCAAAAGAAGACATACAAATGGCAAACAGGCATATGAAAAAGTACTCAACATCACTGATCATCAGAGAAATGCAAATCCAAACTACAATGAGATATCTTCTCATCCCAGTTAAACTGGCTTTTTTCCCCAAAAGACAGGCAATAACAAATTCTCGCGCCAATGTGGAGAAAGGGAACCTTCCTAAACTGTTGGTGGGAATGTAAATTAGTACAATCACTATAGAGAACAGTTTGGAGCTTACACAAATATCTAAAAATAGAGCCACCAAATGATCTAGCAATCCCATGGCTGGATATATGCCCAAAAGAAAGGAAATCAATATATCAAAGAGCTATCTGCACTCCCTTGTTTCTTGCAGCACTGTTCACAGCAGCCAAGAAACCTAAGTGTGCATCAACAGATGAATAGATAAAGAAAATGTTTTACATATGCACAATGTACTATTCAGCCATAAAGAACAATGAGATCCAGTAATTTGCAACAACAGGGATGGAACTGGAGATCATTACGTTAAGTGAAATAAGCCAGACACAGAAAGACAAACATCTCATGTTCTCACTTATTTGGGGATCTAAAAATCGAAACAATTTAACTCGTGGGCATATAGGATAGGATGCTTACCAGAGGCTGGGAAGGGTAGTTGGGGGCTGCAGAGAGGGGAGAGATGGGGATGGTTAATAGATACAAAAAAATACCAAGAATGAATAAGACCTATTATTTTATATACAACAGGGTGAATATAGCCGATTATAACTTAATTGTACATTTTTAAATAACTAAGAGTATAATTGGGTTGTGTGTAAAACAACGAGTGAATGCTTAAGGGGATGGATCCCCATTCTCTATGATGTGAGTCTCATACATTGCATGCCTGTATCAAAACATCTCATATCCAATAATACATACACCTACTATGTACCCACACAAACTAAAAATTTAAAAACTTTAAAAATGTAGCTATATTTGTTTTACAGCTAAAATTTAAGGAGACCTTTAAATAACAACAAATATAGTACACCTTAAAAATAATCTAATGCATGTCATATTTATATGTATGTGTGTGTGTATATATATCCATTTGTAATTGCTATGCATGTACATGTATGTGTGTATACATATGCTTTCATTATATATACATAATATGCATTTTGTGTGTGTATATATGCATATCCAGTTGTAATTTCCTAGACAAAACTTATTAGAGTTTCCTAAAACATTTTAGATAGTAGCTTTCTTTAATCATGTTCTTCTCTGTGTGTCAATATCCTTGACTAAAATAGGAATCTCTGAAGATATTCTTGAGTTTTTCTTTCAGGAAGAATGTTCTGTGACTTTATTTTGTTTCTGTTCCAGACCTTCTATGATACCTCAAAAGTCTTTTCATTTCTGGCCATTCTCAATATAGATTATCTTTTACCCTCTTAGACCTATTTGTAGGCAAACAATTTTATATATTGATAAACAATCTTACAGATTAAGACAGCCATGGAATTTAAAAACTGAAGAAAATACATATGTTAATACAAAATCACTGCAGACAAAATGAAACAGAATTCAAAATATCAAAAAGAGAAATTACACAACCTGTATATCAGCAGATTTTATTTTGGTAAGCATCAGCAGCTAATAAAATCAGTTTGTTTTAAAATCTCTAAATTGATCTAACTAAATAGATGATTTTTAGGAGCCTCTTTATGTTAAAAAAAAAAAAAAAAAGAATGTGCTTTACTGCAGGATTATAAATGCTGCCATTTTTATCAAATTAATTTGCCAATCGTTTTAAATGATTTTTAACTTAATTAAAATGTAATATTATATTTAACTATGATACTAAATGTGATAACACATTACACTGCCATTTCTATTTTGTAGTTGTGCCATTTCCTTTGCAATGTGTCAGAATTCTTTCATATCAACAAATTAGCCTTGCAAAATACTTATAAAAATTATAATTTAAGATTTTTTGGGGGGGACAGAGTCTCACTCTGTTGCCCAGGATGAAGTGCAGTGGTGCTATCTCGGCTCACTGCAACCTCCGCCTCCCAGGTTCAAGCAATTCTCTGCCTCAGCCTCCCAAGTAGCTGGGATTACAGGCACCTGCCACCACGCCCTGCTAATTTCTGTATCTTTAGTAGAGATGGGGTTTCATCATCTTGGCCAGGCTGGTCTTGAACTTCTGACCTCGTGATCCACCCGCCTTGGCCTCCCAAGCCTTTTTTAAAGCATGATTTTTTTAAATCTGCAACTGGCTATCCTTTGGTTCTCCCAGTAATTCAACAAATCAAACACCTAATTTCAAATCTTATTTTAACTATTTTATTTTATTTAAAAATAATAAGGATATTTTCTTTTTCCATCAGAATTTTGTTTAGCTAAATATGAAGCAGATATGATATGGCTACAATATTATTAGGTACATTATATTCTGTATTGGTACAAATTGACAACACGAAAGTTGATTATTTTTTCTCATCAACCCAGTCACTCCCAGAGCTGAAATTGTGTGCAATAATTTTAGAAGTAAATGCAGAACCTGGGCACATGTCAAAGTGAGCCACCTATGTAGGGACTTGAAACAGAACAATGTCTATAAAAGTTGAAATTGAAAACACTGAGCAGAAACTGTTAGTGGACTGATTTTGTTTTAGTATAAGAAAGAACTTTCTATTGGCAATACCTGAAACTGAAGTTGAATGATCTAGCAGAATTTGTCACATCTGTCCTTCAAGTTGTTCAAACACAGTTTATGGCATTCTGTGGTTTGTGGAGGGCTTTTGCAGAAAAAAAAATTAAATATTCAAAATGTTCTTGGATTTGATGGATTCTCCTTCCTTTACAGATAAATTCCTTGGTTTAAAACACAATTTTCAGATATTTTTACTCTTTTACTCCTTCCATACAATATTTTCTAAATTAAGTGATCGTAATATCTTATAGGTTATGTACAGACACATTTTTTATTTTTTTGGCATAATTATAAAATCTAATATTTGTTGCTTTCAAGGGCTGCAACCACCTTTATAGATCTACACTACTTCCTAACAGGTGATAAACACACATCAGACTATTTTTCTTTAATTTTAAATTTTGTAACACTCTTCTCATAAAAAAAGTAGTGAGAATGTTTTGTCCTGAAAGAAAACTTTTAAAATTATGGTTTAGTCCATAACAAAATCCTACATTCACAAAAATTGCTTTGTCATTATAAGAATATGAGAAAATTTGGAGTGGCTTTATTATCAGAAATATTGGAGAAAATTTCAAGTAACTATTTTCACACACCAGTCTTTCTAGGTGCTATCTAACATTTCTCTAAATTAGGGAATCTCCCACAGATATACGTTAAATAGTAAGTATATGTGAAATTTTAAGAGGGAAATTAAAAAGCAATGAAAAGAAACTTATTAGCTTACATACTGGTTCATCATACTTATGTCTATGGCACGCAAGTTTAATTTATAAGTATACTGAATGTAATACATATTACACATTATATATACAGTCTATATTAACACACAATTATGTTCAATGTATGTGTATGCAGGAGTACATATGAATGTGAATAAAATATCACACATTATCCAGAGTTACAAAATGTGATTATATTTTACATTCCTATCATAAACTCCTACAGAATTCCTTAATGCTGAATTTTAAAATGGTTCTTTTGTTTTTTCACTGATAGAAAACATGAGTTTCATTACTATGAAATGAGAAGCTCTCAAAACAAATGGCAATTAAAATTTCTGGGTTTGGCTGAGAAAGTTCTAACATATAGAGATCCCACATTAGGTAAATAAAAGTACTCAGATACTCCCCAAGCAGGCTCATTTCTAAGGCCAAGGGTTCCTGTACAGAAACTGTAATACCTGTCTTGTCCTGTGAAGTACTCTAAACTAAAATCAATTTACCAAGCGATTATTGTTTGTTACAAGTTTTTCTGTAGTTTTAGACTCTAGAAACTTGGCCTTAGGTAACAAATATTCTTTGTGTGGTTATTTTACAGAAAATGAAATATGAAAGTCCTTTGGATCAATGTTACTGTCCTAGATACATATTTTAATTAAGCTATTGGTTGGTGTAATATACTGTACTATAAATGATTCCCAATTGAAACCCTCATAAGTTTACTTCCCCAGTTCCCCAGAGCTAATTTTCAAAGAATAACATGGCTCTTTCCTCCCTTCTTCATTCAACTATCATTTCAAAAAAAAAATTTAACAAATTTTCTAAATAATGTATCAATCCGTAATATTGGGGAATCTTGTATGACAAGCATCCCCCCCACACACCGGCAACATGTTGATACTTTATTTCTATTAGTTTCAATTGATTTACATTAAGCAATAGTTTCAACTGATGTATTCTAGCTTTAGAATGGATATTAATGTTACTATCCCAATGAATTTAAATAAAGAAAATAACTTGAATGTCTAGTCGGCTCTTCATTATAGGATTTTAGCTTGAGTTTTCATGTAAGGGCTCAGGAATTTAAAATAAAATAGCAGATGTAGCATAAGTGCAATATTACAGCTATCATAAAGCTCAAAGTTATTACAACTGTATTGTAAATGTAAAGGTTTCTTTGCCTAATTCTTGACCTAGCTTTAAAAACATTACTTCCCTGTGGTCTACAAGGTAGATAATTCCCTCTTGTTATTTTCATAGACACTTTCTGGTTGGCTAACTCCTTGATAGTCCCCTGCTGACTAAAAGAAAAATCACATGCCTTGTGAAATGTGGAATTTACAAAAAGCAAAGACTAGAGGGAATAAAATGCCAATTCTTACTTTTGCTGACCATTTTGTTTTGCTTTCATTCCATTGTCGTATTTAGTATATTTGAATGGAATCTACTCCAAATATCATAATAAAGGAATTAAAAATGACATTCTTCTTTTCTCAAGATGTACAAAGATATGAAGTATTTACACTATTTATTAACAGCAAGGATCACAGGCATCCAGAGGTCTGTATTTTAAAATAATTATAGCTGGTAGTATCATTATACTGCCATAAACTACAGAGTGTTAGTTTATCAATGTTCCAAAGTTTTCACAAATGAAGTAACATGGCCAGATTCAACTTTCACTAAAAAAATAAGAATTTCATTTTTTTTGAAGAACCATCGTATTAAATCATTTCCTTATTGCTTTTGATGTTTCAGACAGTAGAAATAGAAATAGAGAAAGTATGATTAATTCTCTTATGACACATCTAACAGGAAAATGTTTATGGTTTTCCTGTTTCCTCCAGGAGGAAAAGTGGTTTATTTCTTTGTTGACCCAAATACTTCAATTCCTTGTTTAATCTATGATTATTTTGAAATAAACATCAACTCCATAATTCTCTAGGGCAGAAGCACAAAGAGATAGTTGACTTTAATTTTGTTTTCCTTCAATATGTATGGAGCACACACCACTGTTAATCCATCATAAGTGAATGTTTAGGATTACTTCTAAAGGATAGGGGAAATTTTCTACCAGGTTATAGTTTTGAAGTTGAATCTATTTGATGTCAATGTGCTGAAAAGTCTTGAAAACTCTAAAAAGAAATCATGTCCCTTGCAGAAACATGGATGCAGCTGGAGGCCATTATCCTAAGCAAATTAACGCAGAAACAGAAAACCAAATACTGCACGTTCTAACTTATAAGTGGGAGCTAAAGAAGAGTACACATGGACATATAGAAGGGCACAACAGACATTGGGGACTACTAGTTGGGAGATAGTGGGAATGGGGCAAGGACTGACAAAATACCTATTGGGTACTATGCTCATTACCTGAGTGACAGGATTATTCGTACACCAAACCTCAGTAACATGCAATTTACCCATGTAACAAACCTGTACATATAACCCCTGAACCTAAAAGTTGAAGACTAAAAAATTAAAAATAATGAATTTTCATGGTCACAAAAATAATGATTTTTCTTCTCTGCAGGGAAAATCACCAGAAAATGGGCCTCATGGATTCAATATGTCTTTTATTCTAAAAAAACACCCACTTTACTGAGGAGTAGCATTGCTATTTTAGTCTGTATTCACATGCAAAGAGACACATGGACTAGCTACAATTTCTTTTAAAATCAGGCATCAATTGTCTACAATGTTTTAGGATGTTTGAAATAATTGATAGGGAAAATATGAATAATGTCCTTTAAGAAGTTACATAGGTTGTGGGAGGCTAAAATGGGAGGGTAGAAACATGAGGGGATGAAAGAGGAAATACATGCAAATTTAGCCATAATGCTTATTCAAATTCAATTACAATTCCAAGAAACAAACACAAATAAAGTGCCGTATGAGAAAGTCATTGAATACTCTATCATTTGCTACTGACAGAAAATCAACCAAAATGGATTAAGCAAAAGGCAAAGCTTAATGATGTACAAACCTGAACATTTAGAGATACTGCTGACTTTAGAAATGACTAAAGCCCAGATTATATCATCACTACTTGTTCTCATGTTCTCTAGCCCCAGGATCTGCTTTCCTCTGTGCTGGTTCTCTTTGCTTACATCTCAGACTTTCTACTTTCTCAGGGTGACAACATGACTGCTAGCAGGATCCGGCTAATATTTCATTCCCTCAGAAACCTGAACAGAAAGATTGAATATCTTTTCTAATCCTTGTCCCCGAATTTAATCTTATTAACATAAATTCACTCATGTACCCAAATAAGACATAATTGCTATGATCAGGATTATATCATGCTCTGATTTATCAGGTCTGGGAATCAATTGTCAAGCTGTGTAGAATCAGAGTGAGAAAAATGGCTTCTCATGATAAGTGGGAGTTCTCTCAGTAGGAGAAGGAAACATGGAGAGGAAAAGCAGTAGGCATCGACTAGAGGGAACTTGAAGAAGACACTATGTCCAAATTTAGGGAAAAAAGGAAATATTTCAGAGAGTCCATATCATTTAATGTATGCCTTCAAAGTACATCATGAGGTAGGTCAGTAAGAATTGCATCCCAATCAGAAATATACAGCAGGGTATCCCATGGTGTATATGTACCACATTTTCTTTAGTCTACCATTGATGGGAACCTAGGTTGATTCAATGTCCTTGCTGTTTTGAATAGCATGGCAATGAATATGTGAGTGCATGTGTCTTTTTGATAGAACGACATTCATTTGGATATATACCCGGTAATAGGATGCTGTGTTGAATTGTAGTTCTGTTTTTAGCTCTTTAAGAAATTGCCACACTGTCTTCCACGATGTCTGCTCACTACCTGGGTGACAGAATCTATACTCCAAACCTCAGCATCACACAATAAATGGTTGAATTAATTTATACTCCCACCAACAGAGGATAATCGTTCCCTTTTCTCCATAGCCTCGCCGGCATCTATTATTTTTTGACTTTTTAATAATAGTCATTCTAAATGGTGTGAGATGGTATTTCATTTTGGTTTTGTTTTGTATTTTCTGATTATTAGTGACACTGAGCACTTTTTCTTTTCTTTTTGCCATTTGTATGCCTTTTTTTGAGAAACGTCTGTTCATATAAATAAAAACAAATGAAGAAGTCGTTCTTTGCAGCAACATGGATACAGCTGGAGACCATAATCTTAAGTGAATTAATATAAAAACAGAAAACTAGATACTGAATGCTTTCACTTATAACTGGAAGCTAAATATTGAACACATATGAGCAGAGACTTGAGAACAATAGACACTGAGAACTACTAGAGCAGTGAGGGAGAGAGGGGGTGTGGGTTGATAAACTATCCATTGGGTTGTATGCTCACTACCTGGGTGACAGTATACGTACTCCAAACCATCACACAATATGCCCATGTAACAAACATGAACATGTATCCTCTGTATCTGAAATAAAATTATAATTAAAAAGAAGGTATAGCAGGAACAAAAATATGGACAAAGAGAAATACAGGGAGACTTTCACCAAACAAAGGGAGTCAACCTGACTGAGAATTTGGAAATTTACTTTTTGAAAGCCTTGAATGAGATATTGAGGATTTTGTATTCAAGTTTATAGATGATATGGAGCCACTGAAGGATTAGGTAAACGGGCCAAGAACTGTGCCTTGGGAAGTTTAGTCTCTGAGACTTTACAGGGTAGATGCAAAAGGGAGGAACTGACAATAGGGAGGACAGCTAAAATTCTATTATGAAATGAAAATGTTAAAAAATACTTTGAATTGAATACAGTTACCTAAATTGAAATACAGTATTTAAATGGTCTTGAGTAAGAAGGGAGAAAAAAGTTAATAAGTAAGGTCGGCATAGCCAATGCCTGACCTTCCCCCATCCCAAGTTATAAGAGGGAATGGCTTCTTTTGTTATCTGCATTGCATATAAAAATTTCACTACAATTTTATTTGGAAATATATTTTCTATTGCTTTTTAGCAAATCATTGGTTAGGCTAACTGATTGCTAATATTGTATGTACTAAGTCATCCTCCTGGCAGACCTCAATTTTTCATTGCCTGTTATGCAGATGTTTACTAAGGAATAAAAAGATACCTGTGGGTAGGTTTCTGTGATGACAGCACTTTAGTATCACTAAAATATTGTTGAAAATGTAAGAATATGGAGAATATTTAATTAATGGGATGACAAAGATTCTTTGCTTGATCAAACTTTAGTCAGGCTTCTAAACCTTCTCCTAGGCCTATCTGTGCATTTCATTGTAAAATCTAGATTTTGCAAGAAACTTGCTAAGTTAGTTTAGCAAGAATCTTCATCCTCAATATCTGATTAGGTCCCTCCTCTTGCACCATTCCCCAGGAGGTATCTGATCACCCTGGACTGTCTTCACAAGAATCCTGTTAGATTCCTTTAGCCAGAATACAGTCCCACTCCCGATGTTTCCTCCTAGTAACTTTCCATCCATCAACTTCTACTCTGCTCCTTGGCTATAAATTCTCACTTGCCCATGCTATATTTGGAATTGAGCCCAGTTCTATACTGTGGTCTCTTTTCTCCTATTGCTATAGGCCTGAAAACAGTCTGTTTTTACCACATTAACTACTGTCCAGCTTTAGTTTTCTTTGACACTGGCCATCCATCAGGCTGAATATATTATTGATAGGACATTTAGGATAGAGGTTGAAAAAAAGTAAACCCTCTTCAAGCTGTAAGTGCAAGGAAAAGTTGACAGTTCATAAATTGATTTTAGGGAAAACTGATTTCACTTGATTACTGGGCTTTTGTTTAGACGAGTGAACTACGAAAATTTGGAGACTGCAAAGAATTACTTAGGACAATAGTGAGGAGGCTGAATTATGCTTCCATGGTCCTATGTCTCTCATTTCTTCTACAATGACCACACTTGCGTCTGTATAGATACGTGCTAAGAATATATTTATATTGAGTATATATGAGAATATATTTATATGTGGAAGGTACACAAACATGGTGCCATATATCTTGATTATATCCTTAGCACATTATTTTAAGAATATAGCAGTCATATTGTAGGAGGAATAACAATATTCAAGAGAAGTCTAGCAAAGCATCACCAAAATATGACCTTCCTGGCAGAAAGTAGGTTAATTAGAAAAAGGAATACATGTGAACTTTTGTGTGCGTGTGTAACTACAAAAAACAAGTAGAGGAAGAAGTATTCATAATCATGCATTGTACCCTAGGAGAAACAGTTCCCATAAGTCAAGCCTTGGAGACAAGAGAAAATATAGAAATTTCTAATTAAAATGCATCCAATAAATGTTAATTTGTATATATTCTATCTCTCAAAGAGTTAGTGAATTAACTATCTGGAAGAAGAAACAAGCCCATCATAATTTATCAGAACAGCTTTAGTTGCAAATCCACTCAATATTGGAAACTCAGGGCTAGGTTTTGACCTGGAAGTAAGATTCTATAAGCAAAGTACAATTTAGATCTGTGTATCTGTATTAATCCTACCTTATACAAGGATGAGCAATGTAAGGGAAAAATTAACAAAATATATAGAAAAGAGAGATTTTTCTATAGAGATTTAGATGAAGAGTAAATATCTAAAAACACTTTTCTAAAGTGAATGGACTGAATTTAAAAAACATCTGGTTTGCATTTTCCTCAAGAAGAAATTCTCTATAAAATAATCATTGTAAGTATAAACACAGAAATAGGAAAAATAAAAGACTACAGAAATAGAAATGCATAACTTTCACAAACCTACTTGAATATAACTTGTAGTCAGAAAAATGAAAGGGTAAGCAACAAAGCCATGACAATTTTATGCAATAGATTCACACAATTTTAAAAGACTAAACATGTGTGGTGTTTGCAAAGATATAGAGAAGAATATGCTCTTTATATTTTGGATAGAAATGTAAATGGATAAAGCGTTTGAGGAAGGTGAACTGACAGAGTCTGTAAGTTTGGAATGTGAAAATCACTTGCAGCATTTTTACTTCAAGCAATCAATTTTACAAAAATACTCTGTTGTTCAAGTAGCTGGACTTTTGTCTATTAACACCTCAATCTTGGTGAAAGCACTTCTCCAGTCCACGTGTTTCTGGTAGGTATAGTGGTGATGGTAGCCTATACCTCTGGAAAACAAGTAGTATATATCCAAGTTTAAACAACATAAAGCCCTTCCATGAAATTCCATATATTTTTATTTCTAGTTGTATTGTGAAGGTAGACATTTCTATTTTGATGTACATATCTCCATATTGTCTATATTGTTTAAGCAAGAAATACATTTGTGAATTATTTCTATAATAATAAGTAATTAAAGAAAATGTCTTCAGAAATATCGAGATAAATGACAAAAATTATGTAAAGTCAAGAAATAAAAAGACAAACTGCAAAGCTCACTAAAATATATCATAACAAATGGAAATGATAATTAAAAATGTGTAATGGGGCCAGGCGGGGTGGCTCACGCCCGTAATCCCAGCACTTTGGGAGGCCGAGGCGGGCAGATCACTTGAGGTCAGGAGCTCAAGACTAGCTTGGCCAACATGGCAAAACCCCATCTCTACTAAAAATACAAAGATTAGCTGGGCATGGTGGCACATGCCTTTAGTCCCAGCTACTCAAGAGGTTGAGAAAGGAGAATTGCTTGAACCCAGGAGGCAGAGGTTGCAGTGAGCTGAGACTGTGACACTGCACTCCAGCCTGGGTGACAGAGTGAGACTCCATCTCAAAAAAAAAAAAAATGTGTAATGGAAGTACTAATAGGATTTGGAAAAATGTTGATAAATTACTCAATAACAAATTTCACTATACTACAAACAGACATGCTACAAGTCTCATTTTCTGAGCAAAATGAAAAAATAAATTCTAGAAGTTAAAAGAAAGGTTTAGGATCTTTCAGTTTCAGAAAAGATAGAATAGACAATTTTTTCCCTATCCCTCTTGGTATGTGCAGCTAAACCCTGTAGACATCATATAAAAACCAGGGAACAGGCTGGGTGTGGTGGCTCACACCTGAAATCCCAGCACTTTGGGAGGCAGGCAGAGGCAGGTGGATCACGAGGTCAGGAGTTCAAGATCAGCCTGGCCAAGATGGTGAAATCCCATCTCTACTAAAAATGCAAAAATTAGCCGGGCGTGGTGGCAGGTGCCTGTAATCCCAGCTACTCAGGAGGCTGAGTCTGGAGAATTGCTTGAACCTGGGAGGCGAAGGTTGCAGTGAGTGGAAATCACACCACTGCACTCCAGCCTGGGTGACAGAGTGAGACTCCATCTCAAAAAAAAAAAAAAAAAAAAAAAAAAGAAAAGAAAAGAAAAGAAAAAGAAAACAAACAAACACAAAAAAGGGAACATTTCTACACTGCTGGTGGGAATGATGTAAACTAGTAGTACAACCACTATGGAAAACAAGGTGGAGATTATTTTATTTTATTTTATTTTATTTTATTTTATTTTATTTTGAGACGGAGTCTCCCTCTGTCACCCAGACTGGAGTACAATGGTGTAATCTTGGCTCACTGCAACCTACTGCGGAGATTTCTTAAGAAAATAAAAGTAGAACTACCATTTAATCCAGCAATCCCACTACTGGGTATCTACCAGAGGAAAAGAAGTCATTATACAAAAAGATACTTGCACACACATCTTTATAGCAGCACAAATCGCAATTGCAAAACTGTGGAACCAACCAAAATGCCCATCTATCAATAAGCGGATAAAGAAACCATGGTATATATATATATATATATGATGGAATATTACACAGTCATAAAAATAAATTAATTAATGACATTCACAGCAACCTTGATGAAATTAGAGACTTTTATTCTAAGTAAAGTAACTCAGGAATGGAAAACCAAACATCATATGTTCTCATTCATAAGTGGGAGTTAAGCTATGAGGATGCAAAGGCATAAGAATGACACAGTGGACTTTGGGGACTCAGGGGAAGGGGGTGAGGGATAAAATACTACAAATTGGATGCAGTGTATACTGCTTGGGTAATGGGTGCACGAAAATCTGACAAATCACCACTAAAGAACTTACTCATGTAACCAAACACCACCTGTTCCCCAGTAACCTATGGAAATTAAAAAAAAATATTTCAGTAAGTTGAAGCAACTTGTATACAATCTCACTGTGTTCTGGTTTCTATAGTTTTTATTGGGAAGACAATTAGGATTCTATTTGTTGCATCATTGAAGGTAACACGTCTCTTTTCTCTGAAATTAGTATTTTCTCTTTTTTTCTATTTGTAGCAATTTTTTATTATGTACTATGATATAGTTTGGCTATGTTCCCCACCCAGATCTCATCTTGGATTCCCATGTGTTACGGGATGGACCCAGTGGGAGGTAATTGAATCATGGGGGCAAGTCTTTCTTGTGCTGTTCTTGTGATAGTGAATAAGTCTCACAAGATCTAATGGCTTTAAAAAATGAGAGTTTCTCTGCACAAGTTCTCTCTCTCTTTGCCTGCTGCCATCCATGTAAGACGTGATTTGCTCCTCCTTGCCTTCTGCCATGATTGTGAGGCCTCCCCAGCCATGTGGAACTGTAAGTCCATTGAATCTTTTTCTTTTGTAAATTGCCCAGTCTTGGTTCTTTATCAGCAGCATGAAAACAGATTAATATATACTGTATGCTGGGATTTGTTTTTACTTATCTCACCTGGGCTTTATAGAACTTCTTGAACCATTATTTGATGGTGTTTAATAAATATACCAAATTGAAAGTTTTAACATATGCAAGTTATCCATTTAGAAAATGTAATAGATAACTATTTTATTACACCAACAAAGCAGAGCAGAATTATGCTGCTTCTGAAAAGAAATACACATATCTTGCGTGCATAAAACTGTAAAAATGTATTGAGGTAACAAAATTATCTGAGCACACAAAAGTGGAATAAAGAGAGAAAATATACTCTTGGATGGAAATTGTGTCAGACCATTTGTGCTGCTATAAGAGAATACTTGCTTGAGACTGAGTAATTTATAAAGAAAAAAGTTATTTCTTGCAGTTCTGAAGGCTGGGAAGTGCAAGATCAAGGTACCAGCAGATTGTGTATGCAGTGAGGCTCTCTGATTCCATAAGAGTGCTTTGTCGCTACATCCTCCAAAAGGGAGAAATGCTGTGTTCTCACATGGTGAAAAGGGTGGAAAGGGCAAAAGAGTGCTCCTTTCAATCTCAAGCTCTTTTATAAGAGTGGTAATCTCATTTACGAAGGTAGAGTCCTCATGAATAAATCACTTCCCCATAAGGCACCACCTCTTAATACTACCAAATGGGGATTAATTTCCGTATAAATTTTAGAAGGGCATCATGATCCAAACCATAGCAGGAAGTATGCACAAGGAAATGACAGAATTTCTTTCAAAATTATTGTATACATTTAAATCATGTCTAATAAATGTAACAATGGAATCCATTTTTAGATTATCAACATATTTCTAAATTTTACTTGCAAAAAATAAGCAAGTAAAGTCAAGACTACTTTAGAGAAGAGTAAAAACATATGGTAAAACTAACACTACAAAATACTGTGAAGCTCAATGATTTGAAGCATGGTATCACTTGTGCAGGAGTCCCTAGCTAAATCAATCAGTCATAATATAGGGTCCAAAAAGGGATGCTGCTAAACATGTACAAAAACTGAATAATCTTAACACTATCAAAAAATTAAGTGAAATGTGGTTGTTAATAAATGATAAAAAATCGGGGAATATTTTGTAGAAACTCAATTTAGATCCTCAATTCCTAATACAGACTAAAGATAATTGTTAAATGTTTTATTTGTAGTAGATTAGTGGCTGTGTTGGGAAGAATTCTGAGTAGACATCTAGGTTAATTGAAAATAAAATGCCATATTTGATCACAATTTCTATAATTTGCATTGATGGGCAAAGAAAGTTTATTGTTTTGGTGTAACAAAAATCTACAAAATAACTCATACATTTTAACACTACTTCTATGTTTAAGACTGTCTCCCAAGAAAATGAGAGCATTGCTATTTATGTACAAAGACTTTATCAAAACATTATTTATAATAACAAAAATTGAAAACAAACTACATTTCCACAGATAAGGTAGTTGATAAGTTACATGTTTCTTTGAAATTATGGATCTTATATTAATATATACAAAAGTGATTTTGAGGAAATATAATGCCAAGAAGAAATGGTCAAATGTATTGGCATCATTTTAAATGGAGTGTAGTATTTTATTCAATTACAAATCACTGGTTATGGCTTTTAAATCATTTTGTGTTTTTTTTTTAACCATTCCAAGTTTTCCGAGTTTACAATAATGAGAATGCACTCCTCTGATCATCATGGAGAAAAGGAAAAAGGAAATCAGCAAAACTTGTTGAAACAATGAAAAATCATCCTTTCACATTTAAAGTCTCAAGAAAAGGCAGATACTAGGAGAGAGATACTCTCACAAAAATTGCTATATTCAAAAGCATACTATCCGAAGACTCCTTCATGTAATAACTCCCTCTTCACAGAAATTGACCTATGCAGAGTATCTGCTGTCACAGGAATCATTATCAGGAAACAAGATAAATTAGCACTCATGTTCTTTTTTTTAATTATTTTTCCAGATTTTTTTTGTGATTATGCAATCTAAAACATAAAAAATAGCCCAGAAGAGAATGTTTTGTTTCCCCTAAACTCACCAAGAGGGCCTCAGGTTAGGGCCTGTACTATCTAACTTCCCTGCAACTACTTATTACCAGACTAAGTAGCAATAGCGAAGAATATATATGTCCATGGGAAAAAACAAACAAACAAACAAAAGGAACGAGAAGAAGCTCATGTAAGGAGCCCAGAAATCATGAAAGAAAGACAACAAATAAATGGAAATACCAGATTCAACAGACCAGAGATAATAAGAGTTAAAATGAGTTTAACAAGTGAGTTCAAAATGACATGGAAGTATATGTGAAAGCTGAAAGAGAGAAAACAATTAAAATAACTGATCAAATAGGAAGAATCAATACTGTTAAAATGACCATATTCTCCAAAGAAATTTACAGATTCAATGCTATTCTTATCAAACTATCAATTACATTTTTCACAGAATTAGAAAAACTATGCTAAAATTTATATGCAACCATAAAAGAGCCTGAATAGCAAAGCAACCCTAAGCAAAAAGAAGAAAGCTGGAAACACCACATTACCAGACTTCAAACTATACCACAGGGCTACTGTAAACAAAACAGCATGGTAGTAGTACAAAAATAGACACATAGACCAAAGCAATCAAACAGAGAACCCAGAGATAGAGCCAAACACCTATAACCATTTGTATTGGCCCATTTTCATGCTGCCATAAAGAACTGCCCAAGACTGAATAACTTATAAAGAGAAGAGGTTTAATTGACTCACAGTTGCACACATGGCTGGGCAGGCCTCAGGAAACTTACAATCATGACGGAAGCCACCTCTTCACAGGGAGGCAGGAGAGAGTATGAGTGCAAGCAGAGGAAATGCCAGACACTTATACAACCATCAGATATGGGGAGACTAACTCATTATCACAAGAACAGCATGGAGAAAACTGCCTTCAAGCTTCAATTACCTCCACCTGGTCCCACCTTTGACATGTGGGGATTATGGGGATTACAATTCAAGGTAAGATTTCGGTGGGGACACAGAGCCAAACCACATCACCATCTGATCTTTGAAATAGTCAACAACAACAAACAATGAGGAAAGTGTTCCCTATGCAATAAATGGTGCTGGGATAACTGGCCAGCCATATGCAGAAGATTGAAACTGGACACCTTTCTTTCACCAAATACAAAAAATCAAGTCAACATGAATTAAAGACTTAAATGTAAAATCTAAAACTAAGAAAACCTAGATGGAAACTAAAGAAATACAGTTATGGACATAGGCCCTGGCAAAGGCTTCATGAGAAAGACTCCAAAAGCAAATGCAACAAAAATAAAAATTGACAAATGGGACCTAATTAAAGAGCTTCTGCACAGCAAAAGAAATAATCAACAGAGTAAACAGACAACCTACAGAATGGGAGGAAATATTTGCAAACTATGCATCTGAAAAGGTCTTATATCCAGAATCTATAAGGAACTTAAATTAACAAGCAAAATCAAACAACTCCATTAACAATGGGCACAGCATAGCTGAGTGTGGTAGTACACACCTGTAGTCCCAGCTATTCAGGAGGTTGAAGTGGAAAGATCCTTGAGCCCAGGAGGCAAAGTTTGCAGTGAGCTGAGATGGCACAACTGCACTCCAGCCTGCGTGACAGAGTGAGACAATGTCTCAAAATAAATAAATAAGTAAAATAAAAAATGGGCAAAGTATATGAACAAACACTTCTCAAAAGAAGACATACATGCAGCAAACAAGCATATGAAAGAAAGATAACATCACTAATAATTAAAGAAATGCAAATCAAAACCACAATAAGTACCATCTCACACCACTCAAAATGGCTATTATTAAAAAGTCAAAAAATAACAGATGCTGGTGAGGATACAGAGAAAAGGGAATGCTTATACACTGCTAATGGGAATGTAAATTAGTTCACCATTGTGGAAAACAGTTTGGTAATTTCTCAAGGAATTAAAAAAAAAAAACTACCATTTGATTAGCAATCTCGTCACTGGGTATATACCCAAAGAAATATAAATTGTTCTACCATATAGACACATGACATATAGTATGTTCATTGTAGCACTATTAATAATAGCAAAGACATGAAGTCAACCTAGATACCCATCAAGGTTGATTGGATAATGACAATGTGGTACATATACATGATGGAGTACTACACAGCCATACAAACCAATGAAATCATGTCCTTTGCAGCAACATGGATGCAGCTGGAGGCCATTATCCTAAGTGAAATAATGCAGGAACAATAAAACAAATACTGCATGTTCTCACTTGTAAGTGGGGGCTAAACACTGAGTGCACATAGACCCAAAGAAGGAAACAACAGACGCCAGGGTCTACTTGAAGGTGGAGTGAGAGGAGGGTGAGACTTGAAAACTACCTATTGGGTACTATGCTCGCTACCTGGGTGATGAAATTATTTGTACACCAAACCCCAGCAACATGCAATTTAACCATGTAACAAACATACACATGTAATCCCCTGAACCTAAAATAAAAGTTGGAAGAGAAGGATGAGAATAAAACAACCTATCGGTGATAATTAGCAATAAAAAAAACAGTGAAAAGTCTCCCAAATGAAAGACAAGACAGACATAAAAATCACTTTAAGAAATAGAAGAACAGTTTTAGGATACCTCTCAGAAGGCATAAAAGAGGATAAAAATGGGAAGTAGAGTATGTAAGATAACTAGAGGATAAGATTAAGAGCATTAATATCATCATATTTAAAGTCCAAGAAAGCGAAAAAAAATGATGACAGCAAGTTAACAAGTAGAACTTTTTGAAAAAATACTAATGGGAGCATCCTGGTAAAATAATACATTAAACAAATGCATGTAATTTTTCATTCTCCTGGCATTCTATTAAAAATGAGGAAATTTTTTCAAAGATATAAACAAAGAGAACAGCACAGAAGATTAAAAAAGGCAACAAAATTTTGAAAGGTGAGCAGCAGATGGATGAGTGGAAATTCAATTAGTTTTGTTACAATGGGTGAACCTGATAACCAATCTGACATACACATCTCTATTCTCCAAACTGGCATTGCTGGGTACTAGTGGAACTAAATGTTGGGAAGGTTTATAAAAACGGAGAATTATTTGAAAAATAGTAAAAAAAAAAAAAAAAAAAAAAAAAAAACAGTAGAGATGAGAAAGTAATCATGAATATATGCACACAATAACATGCCCTCAAATTAAGTAAAGCAACAACAGGGAAAATATGAAGAGAACGGATATATTAATAATTTTCCTTGAAATTTTTAATTTTTTTCTTAGAAACTGATACTCATCAGAAAAAGATAAGGTTAACATAAGATTAAAATGTTCAAACAAATAGATAAATGCTTATTACCTTAATGAAAACAAAAACCTCAATGTTCAATTCCTTAAATGACAACTATGACCAAAAGAGAATTTACCACAACAAAAGCTATCATTAAACAAAACCCATCTATATATTTAAAAATTATATTAAAACAAAGAAAGGGACATTAAAATCTTTAGACCTAATCAGTTTGAGATTTAAAACATAAAAATGGTTCCTGCTGCCACTTATTCTATTTGATATAGAACTGTAGATCCTGGTCGATGGAAGAAATAGGGAACAGAATTATGAAAAATAAACGAGGAAAAAAACTGTTAAATTCTCACATGATGTAATTATCCACACAGAAAATTGAACAGCATCAATAGGCAAACTATTGGCTCTAACAAGAGAGATTAGCAAAGTTGTCCAATCCACAATCTTCTTCCATTCTGTGTCTAACTAACACTAACAGCTGGAGTTTCAATGCACTTAAATATCTTATAGAATGTATCTGAAAATCAGGTGCATGTAAATACTATGTATGGAATAAATAAGAGGTTTCAAAGAACAGAGGCTCTCCGCTATATATTTCACAACAATCTACAGAGTCATAGCAAAACACAAAACGAAACAATCTGACATTGGTGCACTAAAGAATAAATAGAGCAATGGAGTGGAATACAAGTTTAAACACAGTGCTATATGTACATAGGAATGAATGTATTACAAATGGACCACCAAAAGTGGATATGGAAATGTTGTAATATTTAGTAGTTGGCTTTGGGAACCTGGATCAATATGTAAACAAAATAATAAAGGTAATCCTTTACTATTATTCCAAAGTGCACTTTAGATAATTAAATATTTTAATATGTAGTAAACAAACAGTCAACTTAATAATAAAATAAATTACAGAAAAATGACTTTGTTATTTTGGAATGGGGATACACTTCTTCAATAATATTCCACAAAGGAGAAAACTTAGGCCAAAATATTGATTAATTTGATTGAATGCATCAAAAGTTACAGATTTTTATTCAATAAAGGACATTATATACAATGTTAACAGATATATAACAGGCTAAGGAATGGTATTTATAATATCGAAAATTGAAAAGTGGTTAATATTTAGAATATAAGACAGAACATCCAATATAAAATGCACATAGGCAATAAGTAGTTAATTCACAAGTGGAAAACCTTAAAAGGCTAAAACTAAATAAATTAAAGTACCACCAAATCTCCGTAGCAATTAGAGAAACATGCAATTTAAAACTGCAAAGAGAGACTTCTTATAGCCATCAGAGTTGCAGAAATCTGAAAGTCAGTTACTGGTAAATCTTGATAGAATGTGTTGAAACAGGAATCCTCATGTTCCGAAAGAAGTATAAAGTATTAGATATAATCTAGAGACTGCTTAGCTAAATTAAATATACACACATCCCGTGTCTAGAATGATTCTATAATTTATCATACAAACTGTGACACTTCATAACTATCCTAGGATAATTGGCATAAACTGAGATTATTCTGAATAAACTGAGAAACATCATCATACAATCCATTACATCAATCCAATCTAAATATATCTGAGAAAAATTAGCATATAGATCAATATAATAACATATGTGTGTATGTACTATGCAGTGGTTAGGTTCAGTGAAATGAATCCACATTCAGCAACATTAACAACTATTTTTTAAGTGAAGTACTCAACTCTATTAATCTATCATCCATGACTATCAGGTGTGTGTGTATATATATATTTGTTGTGTACATACATATATATATATGTTGAGTATGAGTTGGGTGTGGACTAGAAAGGCAAAAATGTAATATATATTGAAGGAGAGAAGATAAATTAATCCAGGGAAAAGATTGGAGTTGAATTAGTGAATATTAACTCCTTCAGAAAATAAACTTTAGATAGAATTGTTTCCTCAGAGTTGTAATATATATGTAACCAAAACATCCACTTTTTCTGTCTAACACTGCTAATCGATGCATTACAACATATAATGTTGAAATGAACTCTCAATCTTTACAATATTTTGTTAAAAATCGTTAACAGGTGTCTCAGTGTTTGAGAAATCCTAGATGCAACATTATTGTGGATATCTTTTGGCTACAAAGTCACCTCTGGGTATTTATTGGTAAATTGATTGCAGAACACTTTTATTTTCTTGGCTGCTTCAGGGAAAAAAAAAGACAATGATGGCAAGAAGTAATCCTACAAGCATAAAAGGTTTTGATTCATTGGGATTTTCAATCTTCTGTCATCAACATACATAAGAAGTGAATACATTCTTTACAAATTTGTGCTTTTGATGGTAAACCTAGTCAGAAAAGAATGCAGATTTAAACTAACAGTTAACAAAGACTAAAAAAAATTAAATTTGTGTTCACAAATGTTACAAATTATTGATGAGATTCTTTGTTGGTCTTGAAAACACCAAATTCAAATAAAAATTTTACCGGGATTAGAAGGTCAAATTTGAAACATCAGTCAAGGTTTCACACATGCACAAATCCACATTTATATATTCAGGGAGTTGACTGTATAAACTTCATGACTCTCACCTTGCTGTACAGATTGTTTTTCCCTAAACTGAATAGTGTTTTGATGTCATGGAAACAAAGTCACTATAAAGGAGAAACTAATGTGTTTGGATTTGAATGTAGACAATGAACAAAGCAATAGAATCGAGTTTGCCAACGGGGCCTGCTTCAACAAATCTGTTCCATATGTCCGTTTTCCATTTGCTTTCCCTCCCTTGCATATTAACACAAAAAGCACTAAAAATGGTTATTTACTCTAACAACTTCCTGATTTTTTTTTTTGCCTATTTTACAAATAAACTGCAGATTTACTTAGGAAAAAAATGTTTGATTATGCTGCCCTGTCCTGTAATTGTTCCTTTATTTTCTTTAAGGAAGACCCTAAGATGTAAAGTAGTGCTCACAGAAATGCTTATATCTTTGTATTCATACAGCTGAAAGATACTGGTTTTTACTTCATCGTAAATTTATTCAGAAAAAAATTAAAAGATTACATGTCTTTGCCAAGTGCTTTTTGTTTTATTTTTGGTCTTTGTTTTTCCTTTTGGACTTTAGTTTCACAGTTTACTTGATATATATAATACCCCAGATGTTTACAATACATCATCATCTTTCCTGAGTGCTCGCTTTCCTTGTTTTGTTTTGTCTTATTTTATTTTACCTTATGTTATTTATTGCTTTATCCATAATACCACTTCACTTTCTCTCCATTCATGAACAGTCATTCTAATACTGAACAGGCATAAGGTCTTGAAAACATTATGGTGTTTACTTTGTGTGGTTCTTTGCCTCATTCAGAGGTGAATCGATAATTTATTCACACTTAAAAGGTTAATTTTACTACATGAAGGATTCAGAATACCATGGCTCTGGTATCTGACCATTTATTTGTTCTGACTTTATATATTCTCTTTAGATCCAGCTATTTGTATGATTTGCTATTGGTAATTCATCTAAAATACAATATATTAGAAAATAGTAACTATAGAAACACACAATCATCCTGCCTTAAATGTATAGTTTTAGTCCTCTGATGAATTATTTCCATATTAAAACTCTGCACTCTCTTACATAATCCAGGCACTCTTTGTCACAAATACTTCTAAATTTTTTTGGAAATAATTTTAGAATTCCAGGAAGTTTTGAAAATAATACAGAGAGGTCCATGTACCCTCGACCCATTTCCTATAATGGTAACATCTTATATAATACAAAATCAAAACCAGGAAATCAACTTGATACAATGTGAGTATATACTTCTATGTCATTTTGTCATACATGTAGATTTGTATAAACACCACCACAATCGAGACACAGAACATTCCATCACCACAATAATCTACCTTATCCTATCTTTTTACAGTCACATCCACCATTCTCTTTTCCACCATGGCTAATCCTTGACAACCACTGACCTGCTTTCCATCTCTATAGTTTCATCACTTATAAAATGTTATATAGAAAAATAATACAGTATGTGACCTCTTGAGGTTCTTTTATCATTCAGTATAATATCCTTGGTATTCACTAAAGTTGTTGAGTATAGCAATAATTTATTTTTATGTCTGAGTAGTATTCTGTGGCATGAATATACCATCATTTGTCAATCATTCAGGGACACTGTCGTTATTTCTAGTTTTTGAATATTGCAAATTAGCTCAATAGTAACAACCATGCACAGGTTTGTGTGTGGATAATCATTACTGTGGTATGAAACTCAGGAGTACAATTGATGGGTAATATAACAAATGTATGTTCTACATATAATATGTTTATTTTCCTCAGATTCATCTCATTCTTTCTTTATGTTTGGGTCTGTATAAATCTTTTTTTAAACAAGGATGAGCTATGCATGGGAAATACTATAACTTGGGGCCCAGGGAAAATAATAAAACATAAAGCAAAAAGAGCTTTATGATCCATGACCTGCTTATCCACCCAGCCCATCATTGCCCCTCGTTCTTTGGTTGACTATCTTGAAATTTTTCTTTCAGCCAGCTGATATACCACCACACTACATATTTATCAAAATATATACATGAGCTCAAAGTACCCAAAATGATCCATAGTTTCACTCTTCTATCTGAATTACACTCTCTACTCCCATCCAGTTTCTGAATCTTCGTTTAGTTTTTCACAAATTATTCTCCGACTTCCTTCCAGATTTGGCATTGCATCTGTTACTTTGGATTCTAAACTTAATCTGGCACTCAAAACTTTAGCTTGAGGAGAGGATTTCCAGTGTGGGGAAAGAGTAAGTGAGAAATCCCTAGTCATCTACATCCCCACCACAGACTCCCAAAATCCTAGCCCTGCAAGAGCCCCTCGACCTTTGCAGGCCCTGAGACTAACATAGAAACCTGCCTTGTTGACTGTGTAAACACACTGTTCCACAAAAGAGGCTCACACTGGGTCCTACACACTCCCAAGTCCTAAGCAGCTATAGAACAGGGCCATTTTGAGAGCCCAGCACCCACTAGACTAAATCCTGCCATGAGGCCCAGCAATGCCGGTATCTCCGCAATTCTGGAGCACTATTTGCATAGCCCACTTGTAGTCACTGTGATGGCCGGATGCTGCCACAAGGGCTGAAGCCTGAGCTACTGCCAGTGACCCCGCTGACCCCATAAAATGAGGTCATCTTGCATTTGCACATGCCTTAAGGCAAGGCTACCCTGCCCACTGCCACCTCTACCTCTGCTGCTGCTGGTATTAAAATATGAACCATTGACAATGACCTCATTGTCCCCAGAAGTGGGGCAACTGTTCATTTACATGTACTCTGAGGACAGGTTCCCCCATGCACAGCTGCTGTCTGGGGCTGAATGGCATGCTTCACAGTCATCAGTTTATGGCTGCTTCCACTGACAGCAGCCCTGTCCTCCCCAGCAGCAGGGCTGCAGAATACTTGCATGAAAATTGAAGGCAGGCTCCCCTCACCCATCACTAATACTGCAGCCTCCACCTGAGCCCACTACTGGAGGCCTGAGGATCACCTCACCCCTGGCACCATCATTGGCACATAAATACTCATCCCAGGGGCCTGAGAATGGACCCAACCAGCCAGTTACTACCTCACAGCTGACAACCACCCACATATGCCACCTGTGGGCCTGGAGACTGGCCCACCCAGCCTGTCTCAGCCACCAATGACACCAGTGTGAACCACTTCAGAGAAGTGTACCATCACTAGTGCTACCATTGCCTATGCCATGCCTACTGCCTAGGGGATCAATGAGCTGCTCACCCAACCAGCACATTACTGCCATTGTTTTCCCTTGAGCAAGCTGCTTGGGAGGCCCAAGAACTGGCCTGCCTGGATCCACTAACACTGGTGCCAGTGTATGCCATGGAGGACCCAAGAAAAGGCATGCTTGGCCCACCACTGGGGCCTGAGGACGGACTCACCTGGTGTCCTAATCACCAGGAAAACTTCACCATAGCCTCCTCTAATAACTGCACTCTAAGCCACTGAGGAAATCAAAGACACCACTGATGCTATTTGTACAAAATAAAACTACACAAAGACTACACTACTGCATGCACCTATAACCAAAGCAAAATTGCCCTACTCAGGCAACACCATATATACATCTTCAGGAAAAAGTCTTACCCTACAAAAGCAAGTCTAAAAAACTAGAAGAAAGAACTGTTACAGCAGATGGACTGTAACTATATGAAACATGAGAAAACAAGGAAATATCACAACTCCAAAGAAACATAATCATTCTCCAACAACAGATTCCAATAAAAATATGAAATCCTGGGAAAAATTCAATACAATGATATTAAAGAACCTGAGTGAGATAAAAAAAAGAACAAATACAAATAATACAAAGAACTAGAAAACAATTCAGGACACAAATGAGAAATTTACCAAATAGATATTAAAAAGAACCAAACAGAAATCATTGAACTAAATAACTGATTAATGAAATAAAAAGTTAAATTTGTGATCTTCAACAATTTACTAGGATGAAGCAGGAGAATTTCAGAACTTAAAGACAGGTCTTTTAAAATAACACAGTCAGACAAAAATAAAGAAAAAAAGAATTAAAAAGCATGAACAAATCATATGTGACATATGGAACACCATAAAGCAACAAAATATTTGAAGTTTAAGGGGCCCAGAAGGCAAAGAGAAGAGCAAAGGAAGAGAAAACTTATTTAGTGATATAATAGCTGAAAAGCTGAAAATCTTCCAACTCTAGCAAGAGATTTAGACCTCCAGATACAGAAAACTCAAGATCCTCAAATAGACACAACCCGTAAAGTTCTTCTACATGTACATTATAGTCAAGATATTAAAAGCCAAAGACAGATCATTTTAAAATCAGCAAAAGAAAAGCATCTAGTCGTTTATAAGGGAATTCTCATCAAACTAGCAACAAATTTATCAACAAAACCTTACAGGCCAGGAGGGAGTGAAATGACACATTGAAAGTGCAGACAAAAAAAAAACTGCCAGGCAAATTTACTAAACACAGTAAACTTAGCCATCATAAGTGAAAGATAAGTGAAATACTTCTCAGACAAGTAAAACCTGAGGGAATTCATAACCACTAGGCTGGTCCTATAAGAAATGTTTAAAGAGTCCTGCACAAGAAAGTGAAAGGATGATATTTACCATTATGAAAATACATGAATGTGTAAAACTGATTGGTAGAACAAACACACAAATAAGGAAGGGAAAGGACTCAAATGTTACCCCTACAGAAACTTCCAAACTACAATGATAAAAAATAACACAGAAAGAAAAGAACAAAGAATATCCAAAACAACCAGAAAACAATTAATAAAATGACAGGAATAAGCCCTCACATGCTAATAATAAACTTGAATTGAAACAAATTAAACTTTTCACTTAGAAGATATAGATTAGCTGAAAGGATCTGAAAAACATAAACTATATGCTGCTTACAGGAATCTCACCTTATCTATAAAGACATATAGACTGAAAGTAAAAGGGTTGGAAAAGGTATTCCACATAAACAGAAACCAAAAATGAGCAGAGGTACCAATACTTATATCAGATAAAACAGACTTTAAGTCAAAAACAGTAAAAAGAGACAAAGAAGGTCATTATATAATGATAAAGGGATCAATTCGGCAAGATGATATAACAATTCTAAGTATATATGCACCCAACATTGCACCCAGATATATAAAACAAATATAATTGGAGCTAAAGGGAGAGATAGACTTTAGTACAGTAATCGCTGGGAACAACAACATCCCACTCGCATCATTAGACAGATCATCTGGAAAAAAAATTAACAAAGAGATATTGGTTTTAAACTGCGCTTTAGAACAAGTGGACCTAACAGACATTTACAGAACATTTCATCCTACAGCTGTAGAATACTCATTCTTCTTATCAGCATATGGAAACTCCTCCAGGATAGACCATATGTTATGTCACAAAACAAGTATCAACAAATACAAGAAATTCAAAATCATATCAAGTACCTTCTTAGATCATAATGGAATAAAATTATAAATCAATAAGAAGATAAACTTTGGAAACTGTACAAATACATGGAAATTAAACAGCATGCTACTGAATGACCATTGGGTCAATAAAGAAATTAAGGAGAAAATTTTAAAAATTAAAAAAATAAAAATTCAAACAAAAAACCATAAATCTATGGAATACAGCAAAAGCAATGCTAGGAGGAAAGTGTATGGCAATAAACATCAAAAAAGTAGAAAGATTTTAAATAAACAATCTAACATTGAACCTCAAGGGACTAGAAAAGTAGTTCTTTAAAAGGACAAACAAGATCAATTGACCACCAGCTAAATCAACCGAGCAAAAAAGAGAGAAGATCCAAATAAGCACAATCAGAAACAACAAGACATTTCATCCAATCCCACAGAAATACAAAAGATCCTCGGAGACTACAATAAACACTCCTATGTAACAAACTAGAAAATCTAGAGGGAATGCATAAATTCCCAGGAACACATAACCTCCCCAGACTGAATTAGGAAGAAATTGAAACCCTGAACAGACCAATATCATGTGCTTAAATTGAATCAGTAATAAAAAACCTACTAACTAAAAAAAAGCCCAAGACCAGATGGATACCCAGTCAAATTCCATCAGATATAAAAAGAATAGCTGAAACCCATCCTACTGAAATTATTTCAAAAAGTCAAGGAGGAGAGACTCCTCCCTAACTCATTCTGTGAAGCCAGCATCACTCTAATACCAAAACCAGGAAAAGGCACAATGAAAAAAAAAAATATTTTAAAGAGTCTGCAGAAGTTGTTCTGAAGATTTAAATTAATTTGATTAAACAGCATTTCTGAATTGTAATACATTTTAATAAAGGTATACAAAATATTTGTGGGGATATTTGATAATGGTGCTAGGTTTAAAGACTTTGAAAGTTGGGAAGTCTTTGAAAGAATTTCTTCTGATTTCTCAAAGGAAAGCTCTTTGGGTGCCTTTAAAATGCAATTCCGCAGAGCCAGGGAAACACTTTTTGCATTCCATTAAAATAATCACTTTTGTATCTTAACCCATGCACCAGCATTTACCTACTCCTAAGTGTGCTGCACAGAATAAATTTGTTAAAAGAGGTGACCATCTCACAAATTGAATTCTAACTGTTCCATGTTGCCTAAATTGTCCTGGCACAGTCACAAAATAAATACAAGATAAACTTAGTGAAATAATTGCTAAGATTTATATGTATTTATAGTTTTAATACAATTGAAAATATTAAGGCATTTATTTAAATAGGACATTTTATGAGCAAAATCATATTTAGCTTATTACATAGGTGTATATGTCTGCAATCAAAATATTTTAAAATATAGTATTGTATGACACTATTATCTATAGTTTCTGTGCTTATTTTTTAAGTTTTATTTGACTTTCAATGGACAAATATTAACTTTATATATTAATAAGGTACAATTTGATCTTTTAATACTTGTATACATTATGGAATAATAAAATCAGGCTAATTAACCTATTCGTCACCTAAAATATTTCTTATTTCTTTGTGGCGGGAACATTTAAAATCCTGTCTTCTACCAATTTTGAGATCTACAATATAATATCATGAACTATAATCACCATGTTGTCCAATATATTACCAGATTTTTTTCTCTTGTGTAACTGAAAGTTTGTACCTTTTGACCAACATCTTCCTTTTTCCTGTGTACCCCCACCCTTCAGCCTCTGCTAACCACCATTCTACTCTCTACTTCTATGAATTTGACTTGTTAGGCTCTATATATAAGTGAGATCATGTGGTATTTGTACTTTGTGACTGGCTTATTTAACTTAGCATAATGTCCTCTAGGTTCATCCATGATGTCACATGTGACAGAATTTTTTTTTAAGGCTGAGTAGTATGCCATTGTATATATATACCACATTTTTCAAATCCATTTGTCTGCTGATGAACACTTACGTGGGTTTCCATTCATTGGCTCTTGTTAATAGTGCTACATTAAACATGGGAGTGTCAAAAAATATTTGTGCTTTCCAAGCAGCATATATATTTACATGGAAATTAATGTAAAAAAGCATTTTTTTTATTGTTACAACTAAATAAAAACAATATTAGAGTATAATTATGAAGAAATATTGATAAAATACATTCATAATTCATTCAAATACAGATTTAAAATATTTATTTTTCCATTCTTTATAGATATGTCATGATCCCTTCACTACCATGCCAAATAAATTTTTTAAAATTCAATGAAAAAATTGAGAAAAACAATCAAAGTGTACTTTAAAGCAAAAATTTGTATATAATATTGTAAGTCACCACGAATATATTTTTCTTCTTTTGTACTGTTAATATACATGACAATGAAATTGTATTATAGATCAGTCATTATGATTTTATTAATACTTTTCATAGAAAGTGATTTATTTTCATTTTTAGATGTGATTGTTATATAAATATACATTTACTTTCAATATCATATATTAGCTGACTTAAATAACTGCTATTTGCTTAACAACCATCTTCTGAAATTAAGAGAGTAATTAAAATAGTGAGACCTGGCTTGCAGGGATTAAGTTTATCCATTAAATTTTTAAGATGTCATAATTATAATGTATGTGATAGGTATGTCAAAATTTGCTTATGTTAAATATGTTAAAATATTTGCCTCTCACTAAAAGAATAAACTTTTACAATAATGGGAAGACTCTGATCAATTTGATGAGTTGCTTTGTATAAGACTTGTTTCCCAACAGAAAAGAACAGTGTGTTTACCTCAACATACCAAGAGAAATGAATCTCTGTAGAACTGGCATTAAGTCTTGTGGCTTGGCTTGTCTCAATTTGGATTGATGCCCTATCCCTATTGCCTATGTTCCCATAAGTGAAATAATTAAAATAAAATGGCTAAATTTGATGTTTTAAGGTTATCATGACATTAAATACTCTCTACTGTCACTAAAAAAGGTTGAACTAAATCTTAAACTATAATGATGCAAATTGACAATGAATGAAATAATTAAGCTAAGGAAATTTATTATTAACCCACCACTTCTAAGATTACTCAACATGTTTTAAACAGTTCTTAAAGTCAAGCAAAGAGAGTAGACTGCAGAACTTGCCTATTGAACAATTAATATTTGTTCACTTTCCTTAAACAACAGTGTTTTAAAAAATGGTCCATGAGTGCTTAGGACATCAAAAGGCCTCCGAGGAAATAATTATTCTAAATGCTCATTATTTCCTGTGGGATTCTCACTTCTAACATTAAAAATACGTACATTTAAAGAAAATATAGGCCCATTTTAGAAGAATTTTCACATACAGTAACTGGTCTGTAGCAAAAATTAGCATTGCCATTTGGATAAATAGACTAAAATGAGAAAACACAATTTTTCATTAAATATCTTGCTTCTTTTCAAACCTATACCTGGTGTTTGTGTATGTGTGCATGTGTGTGTCTTTGTGTGTATGTGTGTATTATGTGGCTTATGACGTTCTGAAGTTGAAGGGCTTGAAAGAGTAGTGGATATATTTTATTGTTTAAATACATTGTACTAGAATAAAGCATGGTTTATCATTTTTCAATAGTTATTGCTACTCTTTTTCAATATTCTTAAAGATATATTATTTTATGGAGAATTATTTCAAATTCGTTAAAAATAAAATGAATGGAGATTACCTGATTAGGAGCGAAACATCAAATATAGTTTTCATATTTCTAAAATAAGCTGAACAAATATAAAATGAAAAATATTCTATAGGGAAAATAAACTATGTTACATTACCTTGTATTTAGTAGCTACTAAACAAGTATTCATGAAAAGTAATTGAAAGCATTATAGTTCTAATTTAGCAGCTGATAGGAACCAAAGGATTTATTTTTCTGAAGTTGTAGTATAGGGATTATAAACTGTACATTAATCATTTGCCCACAAGCAGTAGTAAGAGTGCATTAACTAAAACTGAGCAGTATCTGTTTGTCACTAAAGAAACTGAGCAGAGTCACATGAGAAAATAAACCATCCAGGAAATGGACTGGGTCCAATTAAGAGGAAAAAAATCACAAAACATCACTATGTTTTTTGTTTGTTTGTTTTACTGGAGGAGGTGTGATCTACTTAAAGTGCTTGATTTTAAACTGGTCTACTTGAAACAATAATAGTGTGTGGAGCTCAGTCAAGAGATATTATAGTTTCAGAGGTTCCATTAAATGCTCTCATTCCCTATATTTTCAATAAAAGATTTTTAAATTGATTGGCTTTAAAGTTGATCAGACCAAAGGAAATGTGACAAAAAATAACCTTGTAAAACAGGGAGTTAAATGACAAATGCAAACACAAGTACACATGTATATAATTTTGCTAAACATTTTCCAATAAACCTAGAAACCACTGGTACCCCACAGAAGTTTTGGAAGCCTTGAGAAGCATGTAAAAATAATACAATAAAAGTTAAAATTTGGAGAAAGAGGTGTCTCTTATGTTTAAGCTATTATAGTCTGCTCTGAGATGATTTGTCCAAGCTTCCATTAGCGTTTGTTCAATGACAAATAAGCTCCACTCTGTCTGTGCCACATTTGACCATGAGAACCTTCTTTGGGTCCATTGATGGTTGGTATTCATACCTCAAGCATTCACCCACTATCACATTAGTGACCTGGCCACATACTGGGTTGTTGTGTGTAACCTGGGCAAAAATACCTTTCCACTAGAGACCACTTCCCAATGTGTATCACAGAAGCCACATCTACCTTTGAGCCCTTCAAGTCCATAAACTCAAGATTTTAGTCTTCTCTTCCACCTAAAAGCTGAAAGAATTTATTATCTCTTCATGTTTCTAAAATATAACATCTATTCACTGGTTGTTGGGAAGACTGGGAGTAAGGAAAGCCCAGATTTCTTAAGATTTCCATTCTCCTTTTTGGTATGTAGGTAGAAAACAGATTTGCTTTGTTTTCCCTCAATTAATCCACAGCAAGTGATATAAGCCAAGACTGAGTTCCTTGTCTCATTCTCTCTGCATATATAGTCAATCCTCATTACACATGGTGGTTATTGTCTACAAAGTCCTTTAAAAATGGATATAGGGAATCCTGAACCATTGCTCCTAGGCAAAATACAGAGTCAGGTTACTGCAATCCCCTGGTCACATTTTTGTCACATTTTTGGGATTCTGTATTATAACTCATGCCTGACTTCTGTAACACTTCAGCACTGTTCTTGGGGCCATTTTCAAAAGTGAAATCACCAACAAATATGTGAAAAAGGTGGCACCAAATCGAGCACAAAACGAGTTACAGTATCAAAGGTGAGAGAAGAAGGCAAAGTGGCAGCCTCAGCTGAGAATCTGCACATTGGGTGACACAATTCTTTTGTTGCTCTGTGCCAGTCCACAAATAACTGCTAGAGTATTACAGGTATTGATTTGCGGGTTACACAGAAATATAAGTGAGTTGGCAAATTTACAAATATGAATTCACAAATAATGAGGACTGACTGTATATATACACATACCAATGATTACATATAACATATACAACTTATAATTATTATATATAGATAGATAATTACATCTGTGTAAATGGCTTTGACCTCATCACTAGATTAAGCAGGAATAATTAAGGGGAAGAACTGAATTATATGTATTAAAATAATCTTTGATAACTATACTTATTTGCTTTTCGCCGCCAAAGAGTATTACCAAATCTCAAAAAAAGGAAGTATAGAGCTCAGTGAGCGAGAGAAATGAAGACTTGAATATAAATGGGAAATACAATTTTATAGCTCATAATAAAAACTAACTTAAAATAAACTCCAACAGAATTGAAATACCATTTGTTCAAATAAGAAATGACAGTTGGGTGAAGCTGAGATGTGTGAGAACTGACAATCAGAATTATAGAAAAGTACATGAATATTGCTGTTGTTGATGGAAAAGGTGATAACTGAATGTCAGTTCACAAAGAAGATAGAAAAATTAACCTAAAAATCCTCCAGTGTAATTTCAAAGTCTGTATCTTATGTGACATAAGCCAAAACAATTTATTTACTCATTCATTGATATATTTATTTTTTCAGTGATACAAATATCATCATTTCCAAGAGCTGTTGACTATAATTGAAAAAAAAATCGTGTGGGAAGAAGTTTTTAAAATTCAAAGAGGAAATGTAAACAAAAGAGAAAAATCCTTTCTATAATATTTGCTTCTTCTAGTTTATAGGAATGTCATGGATAAGTTTTCATCATTTCTTGCTACCCTGATTGCACTCTGCCAAAATTCAGCATTTTGTCCCATGGCAGAATAAGAGGCAGATTTTCAGGTAAACCTACTGTATAGAACAGGCAAAGCACTGGGACAGCTAGTACAGTACAAATCATGGTGATAAAAATTCATTATATCTGAAAAGTATGGTGACATTATAGGATCTAATATAACCAGTGAGATTTTTTGTGACAGATGCATGGAGTGGAAGGATGGTGAATTCTGGTGTATCAACACTCAGAATGTTGTTAGACAGGCCATTAACTGCATAGTCTACTGGGACATTCAGAAGAGTATGACACATTATCTGTACTATAAGGCCAACAAGGTAATAATTTCAAAACAGGCAGGACAGAGGGTGATCAGAAACAGGTTACCAGGATCAAATCCAAAACTTAATGACCTGATATTAAAGCAAAGCAAAATAACCTCCTAATTCAGACTCAGTTCTTTCAAGAAATGTGAAGAGTGTTACTTGAATAAAGAAGTACCATGGATATCATTACTCTGATGGGGTTAACAGCAGCAGTTTTGGGGAAAAAGTTCCAATAGATACTTCCTGTGCCAACCATCACCACTGAAAACCGCCCAGGAAAGGGAACAGTAATAAGCAAGACTTGCATATGTGTAGAACATTTGGATATCAGATATTTTCAATTCATAGACTAAATTATATTTAACTCATTTTTCCTGATGTTTTCTATATCCACTGATCTACATAATGAAAATAGATAATCATAATGTTAAATGTCAAGCCATCTAAGATTTTGGTAACTTAATGTTTTAAAAATTCACTTTCTTTGTTTCTAATCCTACATCATAACAAAAGCAGAAAAACAATAAATAGCAGTCAGAGCATAGTAAATTCCTATTGAGTACATAGACCTGAACTCTTCATACTTGTTGAAATAGATATTATTGATAGCAACAGGAGGCAGGCAAATTCCTAGGCAAACAGGAATGGGTTCTGGTGAAACTCAACCTTCAAGCCAAGGACCATCTAAAGCCTGAAAACCAAGCTACCAGCTCCAGATAAAATCCATGGACTGGAGTGAGAACTCCCATTCCCATTTGGCATGCTTCCTCCTGATTGGTCCTTATCTTTCACCTATTTTACTTATATCTACCCTCCCCCAATTGGCTCTATACCCTTTTGTGCCTCCTTCTGAATGGTGTTTTTTCCAAGCCTACCCACAAACCAGTCAGCACATATTTCCTCCATTCTAAGTCCATAAAAACCCCTAGACTCAGCCTCACAGCTGACAACCAACTTTCAGGTCCCCTCTCACTACCAAGAGCTTTTCTGTCATTCAATAAATTCTACTCTGCCTTACTCACTCTCTAGTGTCTGTGTACCTCATTCTTCTTGGTTATGGGACAAGAACTCAGAACTCACCAAACTATGGGAGTAAAAGAAGAGCTGTAACACTCCCACTCACCGAACTATGGGAGTGAAAAAGCAGCAACGTTATTATTTTACAAAATAAATGGTACTCTGCTTATGATCTGGGAGAGAAATATGTGACACATACTTTTATTAATTTCTGCCATATCAATAATTCAAATACTTGAAAACAAAACCAAATCTTATAACTTCATTTTAGAGTAATCATGATCTCTTGATAAATATTAACTACATCCTGGGGACATCCTGCTTTAACCAATTAAACAGTTTGTCCTCAAATTTCAAAGCTTTTTAGTATGATTTTGTAGTACCCTCATTTAAATATTTCTTGCCATCTTGCTGTACATTTTATACACATGAGATAGCTTTCCTTCAGCAGGCATATAAATTTCATTCGTAACTTGTAAATCTCATTATGCTCTCTGCAGATGAAAGTACTAATACCACAGAAGTGAGACTCAGATTCCAAAGGGAGGAAATATATATGAAGCCACTTAATAATCTACTCTATTATTTCTCTCATAAGATTAGCCATAACACTGAAAATGATGAAAGTGTATGACTGAATTTCAATGTTATTTCAAAATTTGCATGTGTGTTATATATGCTAATCAAATTAAATTTATTTAAAATTCCATAATAGTGTGTCAACTTTAAAAAAACTGAACTAGTATCAATATATTTTTGGATTTGAGAAATGTTTGCAATACAATTTTCAACTTAATTGCATTTGGTCTCATTGGTTCAAAGAATAAACATAAAAAGTCACCCTTGATTATTTAAATTTATAGAGAATATACATTAAAATCTTAATTTGCTTACATTGAATATTTTAAAATAGCATTTTACTCTTATATTTTTCTAATTTAATTTTTTTAACTTTTATTTTAGTTTCAGGAGTATGTGTTCAGGTTTGTATACAGGTAAATTGTATGTTGAGTGGGTTTGGTGTAGAGATTATTTTATCACCCAGATAAAAGTATAGTAATAAATAGGTAGCTTTTTGATATCCTCCTCCCATCCTCCACCCTCAAGTAGGCCCCAGTGTTTATTGTTCCTTCCTTTGTATCCATGTGTACTCAATGTTTAGCTGCCACTTAGAAGTGAGAACATGTGATATTTGGATTTCTGTTCTTTTGTTACTTCACTTAGGATAATGGCCTCTAGCTGCATCTACGTTGCTGTATAGAACATAATCTCATTTTTTATTATGACTGTGTAGTATTCCGTGGTATATATGAACCATTTTCTCATTATATAGTCTACCATTGATGGGCATTTAGGTTGATTCCATGCCTTTGCTATTGCAAATAGCACTGCAATGAACCTATGTGTGCATGTGTCTTTATAGTAGAACAATTTATATTCCTTGGAGTATACACCCAATAATGGGATTGCTGGCTCGAAAGGTAGTTCTTTTCTAAGTTCTTTGAGAAATTGACAAACGGCTTTCTTCACTGGTTGAACTAATTTACATTCTCACCAGCAGGGTATAAGCACTCCCTTTTCTCTGCAACCTTACCAGCATTTGTTATTTTAAATATGATAACAATAGCCATTTTGACTAGGGTGAGATGGTCTCATTGTGGTTTTAATTTGCATTTAATTCGCAAACAGGGAAAGCTGTTTCGAGATGTAGCAAAGACAGTACTCCAGCCTGCATGGAGCCCAGAAAGTTTGGCTTGAGAATGGCTAAAAGGGAGCATGGACAGAAAGGCCCAAACCCTAAGGTTCACCTTGCTCCTCTAGGTGGCTTTGGCTTTGCTTGACTATCAAAATTCAACAGAGCAGGGTGGTCATGTCCATGGAATGGGGCCAGTCTGATTTGAGCATTCCCTTGTCTATTGACTTCTCCTAGGGTCCCTGCATGGTTGCACCCATTTGCAGCACAACCTCAGATGACCAACCAGGGTACGTCTTGACAGTCACTGCCATAGCTCCTTCACTGACAGACTGAACCTGACCATCAGGGATTCAAGCAGATGGTTCCCTGTGGACATGCACCCAACCACCTGCAGCCTCCCCCTACTCCAGCCTTACCCAACCACTTTGCTGGTGCGCACTTGCCAACAGCCCCACCCTACTGCTTTGCCAGTGTGCATACAAGCACCTCACTGCTCCACTCGGCTGACACATACACCAAGCAAACAGCTGCCACTGGCACGTGCATACATGCGAATGCTGCCACCCCAAATTTGCTGAGGCCTGCACACCACACTGAGCTGACACTGCTGTTTATACACTCGCATTTGTGGACACCACAACCCCAACCCTGTATAAGCACCACCACCACCACCCCACCAGCACATGCATATATCCTGCTGTGCCACCACACCCACTGGGGTGGCACTCCCTATCAGAGTGTTGTGGCCAGCAGACAGAGAACTCATTGGCTCCTCCAGCACAGCAAGCGTTTAACCTCTAGGGGCCAGAGAACAAATATGGGGACCTGATACCAGTCATTCAAGGTTATAGCATGCAGCCCTGGAGTGTTGACCTGAGCTTTGGACCCCTGAAATAGTCCAGAAATGAAGCTAGTCAACTGAAGCCACCTTATACCATAGTCAAACCCCAAAGGGTATCCTATAATATAAAAACCCATACAAAGAACAGCAGCTTCAAAGATTAAAGGAACATCAGCCCACACAGATGAAAATGAACCAACACAAGAACTCCGGCAACTCAAAAATCCAGAGTGTCTTCTTACTTCCAAAGAAACAACTGCCCTAGTTTCCTAGTAATGGTTCTTAACCAGGCTGAAATGTCTGAAATGACAGACAGAATTTAGAATATAGATAGGAATGGTGATCATCGAGATTCAGGAGAAAGTCAAAACTCAATCCACAGAATACAAAATATTCAATAACATAATATAAGACCTTAAAGATGAAATATCCATTTTAAGAAAAAAAATCAAACTGAACTGATAGAGCTAAAAATACTCACTATAATGATTTTATAACACAATCACAAGTATTAACAGCAGAATAGATGAAGCTAAAGAAAGAATCTAAGGGCTTGTAGACTGGTTCTCTGAATTAACTCAGTTAGACAAAAGTACAGAAAAAAGAATAAAAGGAATAAAAAATACCTCTGACAAATATGGAATTATGGAGAGTCCAAACCTATGATTCATTGGCATCCATGAAAGAAAGGGAGAAAGAATAAGCAATGAAAACAAAACAATAAAATACAATACAGTACAACACAATACAAAAAAAACTTGAGGATATTGTCCATGAAAATTTCCACAACCTCACTAGAGAGACCAATATCAAAATCCAGAAAATGCATAAAACCCCTGGGAGATACTATACAAGACAACCATCACCAAGACATGTTTCCTTTCTTTCTTTTTTTTTTTTTTTTTTTTTTGAGATGGAGTTTCACTCTTCTTGCCCAGGCAGCTGGAGTGCAATGGCACAATCTCAGCTCACTGCAACCTCTGCCTCCCAGGTTCAAGTGATTCTCTTGCTTCAGCCTCCAGAGTAGCTGGGATTACAGGCAGGCACCACAGCACCTGGCTAATTTTTGTATTTTTAGTAGAAACGGTGTTTCACCATGTTGGTCAGGCTGGTCTCGAACTCCTGACCTCAGGTGATCCACCCACCTCAACCTCCCAAAGTGCTGGGATTACAGGCATGAGCCACCACCCCTGGCCACCAAGATACATTTTCATCAGATTCTCCAAGGTGGACACAAAAGAAAAAATATTAAAGAAAGCTACTTAGAAGAGGTGGGTTGACTACAAAGGGAATCCCATCAGGCTAGGAATGGACTTTTCAGCATAAACCCTACAAGCCAGAAGATATTAGGGGCCTATATTCAGCATTCTTAAAGAAGATATATTTCAACGAAGAATTGTGTATCCAGGCAAATTAAGCTTCATAAGTGAATGAGAAATGACATTCTTTTCAGACAACCAAATGCCAAGGGTATTAATTATCACCAGACTTGCTGTACAAGAAATCACAGGGAAGTGCTAAGTATGGAAATTAAAGATCACTACTGGCCACAACAAAAATACACTTAAGGACATAGACTACTGACACTGCAAACAAATACACAGTCAAATCTGCATAACAACCAGCTAATAGCACAATGATATGACCAAATCTACACAAATCAATATTAATCTTGAATGTAAATGAGCTAAATGCCCCACTTAAAATGCATAAAGTGGCAAGTTGGATAAAGAAGCAAGATCAAAATGTATCCTGTCTTAGACCCAACTCACATGCAATGATATTCCTAGTCTCAAAGTAAGGAAATAGGGAAAAATATCACAAACAAATGGAAAATAAACAGAGCAGAGGATGCTATTCTAATTTCAGACAAAAAAGATTTTAAAGCAACAATAATTCTAAAATGACAAGAGCATTACATAATAATAAAGAGTTCAAATCAACAAGAAGAATTAATTATCCTAAATATGTATGCATCCAACACTGGGGCACCCAGATTCATAAAACAAATTATTAGTGACCAATGAAGAAACTAAGATTACCATATAATAATAGTGGGAGACTTCAACACCCCACTGACAATAGTAGACAGATAATTGAGACAGAAAATAAACAAAGATATTCAGGATCTGAATGTGACACTAAACCAAATAGACATATAAAACATTTACAGAACACTTCACCCAGCAACAGCAGAATATACATTCTTCTCCTCTGCATGTGGTACATACTCAAAAATTGACCATATGATCAGCTAAAAACAACTCAACAATGTCAAAATAAACCCCCAAATTACACAAACCACATGCTCAGATGGTAGTGCAATAAAAGTAGAAATTAATACTAATAAGATCGCTCAAAACCATAAAATTACATAGAAATTAAACAACCCGTTCCTGAATGACTTTGGGGTAAACAATGAAATTAAGATTGAAATCAAGACATTTTTTGAAACTAATGATAACAAAGATACAATATACGAGAATTTCTGGAACACAACAAATGCAGTGTTAAGAAAAAAGTTTATAGTGCTAATTTTGATATTTTTAGTAGAGACGGGGTCTCACCATGTTGGCCAGGCTGGTCTCGAACTCCTGACCTCAAGTGATACACCTGCCTCGGCCTCCCACAGTGCTGGGATTACAGGCGTGAGCCACCGCATGTGGCCGTCTTTCAATTTTTGTAGTGTTTCATTTTCTATAAAGGCTACTCATAATTGTTTTTGAATTATTATATTTTCTTGGATGTTTTTGATGTTTAGATTACCAAGTTATATTGATTATCCTTTTTAGTCAGTTAAAAATGATATACATCATCCCAATTATTTAAATGAAAAATAAGGGGATTCAAGATTAAGCAACTAGTCCACAGAAATCCATCTAATAAGTAGGAGAGACAAGAAAACTCAGTTATATCTAATATCAAAGTCAATGTTATTAAATACTTCTATATACAATTCCAAGAATAATGAGGGAAAAATTCTAACAAAGCTATGGTTAAATGCTGATTATACACTTACTGACTTGAGAGAGTATTTGAAATATAAACTGAAACTGTAGTTATTTACATAAGTACATGTGCACTGACACTGAGAGACACTGACAAAACTTAAGTATTTTAGGGCTATCTATCACTATCTGTGCATTTCATAAATCAATGTGCACGTGTCTTAGAGAGAAACTTTCTCCACAGACACACAAAAACAGAAATATTTAAAACTAATGACCTCACTGTGAGTAACATACTTGAGTATCTTTCATTTAAGCGTGCTTTGGAGCATTTTGATTATTATGTTTTTCTATAGATAAGGAAGACTGAAAAATATATATATTTAATTAGTTCCAGAACAAATTTTGAGTAGGTGGACTTAAAGGTCACAAGTTCTCACATGAGAAGAATCCATCAATTTAATTCTAGAGTGAAGTAAGGATGCAATAATCTCAATTATTCCTGAAGAACTAGAAGTAATTAACAAAACTAATTATATTAGTCTGGCCTCAGGTTAACAGCTGGCAAAGAGGGACACTTGGATCTCTACAAGACAAGTAATTATAAATGTTTGCTTGAATTCATTGCAAATGGGTGTATAAAAATAAAATTTAACTTAATATGCACAAAGTTCCGAGTAAACATTTCAATGAGTAATATGTAAAATTTTAGCCTCAGAGTATCAGGTACATTATGGATTGATAGCAAAATTATACACTTGCACAGAGTAAAAGGTTATGCTAACTTTCCAAAATAATTTTCTTCAAGTACAAATTGTTATCAGATGTGAAGTGACAGCTTAGGGCAGAATTAGATGCATCAATTTTCTGCATAATTTATCTTGGTCCCCAGAGTCCCTAACAAGAGGAACACAGATGCTGGTGACATGTATTGTGCAAGGTAAGATCAACTGTTACTATCAAATTTCCTCTTTTGACTCACATCTTGAATCACCAGACAGAAATAACTTACACCAATAGTTGAAACACTTCTGTTTAAGGACATTTTTATTAACCTTGTGCTCTCCCTGTTCTTGGATAAAACTAAGCATCAGAAAGGGAATATCTTTTCATAAAGAAAAAAAGTAGACTTTCCTTAAGTGGTATTTCTCACTCTATCCTTCACACTTATACTTTAATTGTGATTAATTACCCTTGACCTTTCATTGTGTTACAGGATCCTTAGGGTGTTGCTTCACCAGCCAGAAACCTCTGTGGCCAGCAGAGCCTTTGCCCAAGTTTCTGCTCTGGCCCACTGGGCTCATTCCACACACTCGGCCTCACAGCCTGCACTCAGCTCCCACTGCTGGCCTGGATCCCATGCCTGACAAGGGCAAGCCAGGTACAGAGTGGCAAAGGGTGTGTGAATAAGTGTGGGGTCCAAGCACTGCACACAGCCAGGCATGCCAGCCGCAGCAGGGCAGGCAGGTCCAGGCATGGGCATGGGCGCTGGCTCCCTGCAAGGCTGTGGCTGACCAGGCATACTATAAGCAGCTTCCAAAGCTGATGGTGGGGATCACAATGTGGCACCCAGAAGCTTGGAGACACCAGGAACTGAAAAGTCCTAAAGAAGGTGTCACAGCCCTGGTTTGGGGAGCTCATAGGTCTGGGCTCCCTGAAGGGCCACAGCTCTTCTCTCATTCTCTCTTCTCTTTTTCTTGTCACCCACAACCTGGCAGACAAGGGGCATGTTTTAGCCCTGTTTGTGTTATAGCCCTTTTAGCCCTGCCATTCTGCAGGTCCCAAGTGCTTGTCCTGAATCCAGGAAGAATGAGGTACACAGACAAGTGGAGGGTGAGCGAGAAGAGGAGCTTTATTGAGCAATAGAACAGCTCAGAGGAGACGCTCAGTGGGCAGCTCCTCTCCATAGCCAGGGTGTCCCAATGAGTATTCAGCTCTCAGCAGAGAGGGTAGCACCTCTCTGCTAGGTAGATCATCCAAATGAGTGTCTAACTCTCAGCAGAGATGGTAGTTCCTCTCTGAAGCTGGTCGGCCATTGTCTCCTCAGCTCTCAGCAGAGGGGATAGCTCCTCTCTGTTGGACAGGTCATCCCAGTGAGGGTAGTTCCTCTCTGCAGCTGGTTGTCCCATCATCTCCTCGAGTCTGGCTGAGTCTGGGACTTTTATGGGCCTCAGAGGGGAAGAAGAGTGCACCAACTGGTCCATGGGCAGCCATGGGTAGGCCCAGAAAAGGCACCACAAGTTTCCCCTCTGGTCCATGGGACCAGAAGCACAGCCCCCAGACTTCAGGCTTTCCCCAGCTTGAAGGTGGGGCTTCACCAGGGACCCACCCCATTGCACCCAGGGTGCTGCCATCTGTGATGCCCAGGCTGTTTGTGCCAAGGGGCACCTGAAGGCCAGCGCTGAGCTGCCCTCAACCCCTCCTTAGGCTCCCCCCCATGCTCCTTGGTACCCAAAGTCTGGAGGGGGCCAAGATGGCAGGGGGCTGGCATATCAGCACTGCCCTGAGGATGTGCACATCTGGCCAGGTTGCAACAGCACCCAGGCTTGGCCTCAACTTTGCTCTGTGATCAGAGTGGGCACTGACAGTGGAGAGAGGCCAGGCAGCAGGAGCAGACATCTCCAAACCCACAGGGGCAAGAAGGGACCTTCCTGGGCCCCCAAGAGTGCAGAGATGCCTGGGTCCTCAGTTGCAACTTGGGCAGCTGCAGCCATGCCCAGGAGGGCAGGGCTCCTGCCTGCTCCCAGCTCCCACTGGCTCTGCAGAGCATGGCACCCTCTCAGGCCCAGCTCTACCTCAGGGCCCTGCTCTGCCTGCCCTTTTGTGAACAACTGCACTGCTCCCCCGCTGGTGGGTGACTTGGCTCAGCTCCATTGCTGCGGCTCCCAGGGCAGTGGGTGAGGTGCAAGTGTCTTGGTGGCCCCAGCCAACCCCATACAAATGAACCTGATGCTTCCAGGGGCAGCCCCACGAGTCCTGGCTGCACCTTTGGCCAGATGCTCGCAGGCCTCCAGGATGTGGTGGGGAGTGAGGTTGAGGCCATGGTGGAGGTTCCAGACCTGGGAATGGGTCCTGTCCAGCCATGAGAGGGTGGGGGTGGCACAGTCAGCTGCCTCAGGGATGCAGGGCACAGGGAACATCCCACCACCTAATAACACCATCCTTGCTCCTGCAGTCACTTCTGCCATCATCTCTCGCACCTCTCTGCTCCAGTCAGCATCATGGTAGTAGCTGCCCTGGACGGCCCATTGCTGTCATCAATTGTATCTTTTTGAAAAATCAATTGCCCCAGAAACAGCCACCTATTTCCATCATGCTTGTGACTATTATTGCCCCTAGACTAACCATATCCTTGATGCATTGCCCTAGCTAGTGCATACCCTTCTGTGGTACACCATTCTAATTCACCAGAAGTAAATGTTTTAACCATTGGCATACCACCATGTGTCATGTGCCCTCAGGGTTCCATCTACCATCAGTGATGGAGTTTTTATTGCTTGCTGGGTCACAAGTGATCAGTTCCAAAGTATCATGTTAGCATCTGCTTTCTGGTAGCAACCCAGGCACCAACTGTTGCAGTTCAAGTCCCATATGAAGGAGACTCGGAGATGGAGATTTGCATTCAGGAATTACTCTTAATATTATCACTAGCGCAGGGAGCAAGTAGCTGTGATGTGGTCATAACAAAGGCCTCAGTCAATTCCACAAGAAGCTCTGATGCTAGGATGGGCCCTGCAGAGTATACCCAAATTAAGACAAGGAATTCAAGCTTTTCTGCTTTTGCATTGACCAGTCATTGGTTGTGGGTGTGGATTCAGACAAGTCAACACTCTTCAGTTGAGGGCAATAATCAGGTGAATTCACCTGCAAGCTGTTTGCTACTAGTATTTCTAACAGGATGCTTAGTGCTTCAGCACTGAAGATGAAGGATCGTTGGCACACTCAGTATTTACTACAATATATATTCAGAATTGTGTTATTTTCCTGACAAGTTTTGCGTGTAAAAGTTGTTGTATCTATATCCCTACACCAGCATTCTTGGTTAGTATTGTCTCATTATATCTTTATTCTGTCCATATACAAATTTTTCATTCTCTTGGCTTTTATTTGCATCTCTTTTAAATAGCATACCTTAAAAGTGATCTATGTCATCCTCAAAAACCACAAATTTTATTATCTTTTCATGTCCGTATCCTAGGACTCACTCACCTTTCATACTGGTGCTATGTGAATATTTTATAGATATTAAGGCTGATTTGTTATGGAGACTCTCTCTTTTTTCTTTTCTCTTAGGTGTGTACCTACATATGTATGTATGCATTTTTAGATAGCCAATTTTGTCAAGATATTTGTTTAAACTTACTGACATAAGTTCATAAGTTACCTGGAGGTATTTTCCTCTTTGTATTTAAATAATTCACTCAAAAGGTTTTGCTTATGACTTTTATGTTTTATGTGGTAAATCTTCTGTGGTCTTTAATTCCTAAAAATATTTAAATTATGTGCTCATATTTTAATGACGATTTCATTAAAAATTAAATTTAAGTTTCAAATTTCCTATCCTTCAAATCATCAAAAATATGCCTCCATTTCATCTGGAAAGTGCTTTAGTTAAGAAGTCTAATGCTCTGTAGTAGTTCTGTTCTTTCTTATTGAATTATCTTTACACATTTTCCATTGTCTTCTGTATTCACTAAGTTTTAATAATAAGTTTTATTTTTCTTAATACTCTTTGGGACTTGTAAACAGAAAACATACCTTAGATGAGGGTTAAATTTTAACTGAGTTTGAGCAAAGGAAAACAATACAAACCAGAGCAAATCAAAGCAAACAAAACATAAACAATTCTTAAATGGGCAGTCCTCTGAATCAAAGCAAGTTCAGAGAACTCCAACCAATAACACGATCTGACAGCATTTATAGGAAATGAAAGTGTGGTGTAAATACAACTTAATTAGTTACAGCTTAATTGGGTACAAAGCCTCCTGCAATTAAGTAGAGCTCAGCTACTGTAGTTTAACTTTATATTGGTTTGGCCTTTTAGGCTTAGTGCAAAAGCCTAGTCCAAATCAACTGTATCCCATAAATTTTATTTAATAGCACTTGATAATTTTTTTCAATCAGACATTGTTTATTTTTTAATGTCTATACATTTATTTCTGAATTATATTTTATAAACTATATCTCCCATGTTTCTTCAAATATTTCTAACTCTTCATTCTTTGTTTTTATTTCTCCAGGATTTCTGTTATTTGAATTTTGGAATTTCTATCTTCCATATGTTTTAAACTCTTCTTTCATAAATATATATATATATATATATATATATATATATATATATATATATATATTTCTATCTTTACTTCTGTGGCTATTTCTCAGCCTGGTTTTTTAAATTGAAAAATAGTCTTTTTGCTTTATACATTCTACCATTTGTTTAGGCTCTGGTATCACTTACTATATCATTTTCATATTAATACTTGCCTTTTAATTATAAATTCTTATTCTCTCATATTGCTAATATATCCTATTGTTTCTGTTAGTACGTTTTTTGTTTATTTAAAAACTTGTTTTCTATCTGCATTCATTTTACAAGTTATTGGTTTTCTTTCCATGTAGTTTTACTTCCCAATTTTCATTGTTTTGGATCACGAACTAATATTACTATCTTAATCAGAAAGCTACTCAGTATAATTAAGTGTGTAGATAAAGAGGTGAAGGACCTACAGATGCAGAAAACTCAAGTATAAGGGAATGATGGAGAGCCTGATGCACCAGTAAACTATACCTGTCACTTCTCACATTGTCAATAAATTCACTAAGTCTGAGCTTCAACTCAAACCATGAAGAAGTTGCATTGGGAGGGTGCTGTCACCCTATAGTATAATCCACTCAACACCTGGAGAAAAATACTGTGAATTAGCATGAAAACTACAGATATATACTTATTCTATAAACTTAAAACTGGAAAGAAGATGGCCACAGATGCAGGATATTTAGCATAGTCTCTTTTGGTTACCAGGGGCCCTAAGAGAAGAAACCTGGTTTCCAGTGATGCAAATGTGCAAAATAGTGTCTCACCAGATCTAGAAAGATCAATTATGGTTTTTGTATCGCCTTTTTATATTTAGCATTTAGATATCCATTCAGGAAGGACTCACATAAATAATGCAGAAGATATGCTGATAATAATAAATGCTGGGCTCTCTGGTTCTTGAGTAAAATTCAGCATCAACAAGAAAACATCCTTATGTGAGAAAATTATTGGAGTCTATATTCAGATGTCCCTGAAAAACATGCTTGCACAATGCTATGGCCATTGAATGGTCATTGTCCCTCAGCAGCAGTTACTGGAAATTTTAGGTGTTTCAGATATTCTTAAAGTAATAACGTATTTTTAATTGATCTTTAAGAGTTTATATTTAAAATGGCAAGTTGCAGTCAGAATGACTATTATTAAAATGTAAAAAAATAACAGATGCTGGGAAGGTTACAGGAGAAAAAGGAACACTTATCCACTGCTGGTGGGAATGTAAATTAGTTCAGCCCCTGTGCAAAGTGGTTTGGAGCTTTCTCAAAGAACTTAAAACAACCCAGCAATCCTATTACTGAATATATACCCAAAGGAAAATAAGTCATTCTACGTTAAAGACACATGCACACGGAGGTTCATTACAGGACTATTCACAATAGCAAAGACATGAAATCAACCTAAATGTTCATCAATGGTGTACTGGATAAAGAAAATAAAGAAAGAGGTTATGTCCTTTGTAAGAACATAAATGGAGCTGGAGGCCACTATCCTTAGCAAACTAACACAGGAACAGAAAACCAAATACCACATGCATATTCTCACTTGTAAGTGGGAGCTAAATGACGAGAACACGTAGAGGGAAACAACACAGGCTGAGGTCTATTGGAGGCTGGAGCGTGGAAGGAGCACAAAGGTCAGGAAAAATAACTAATGGGTACTAGGCTTAATACCTGGGTGATGAAATAATCTGTACAACACACCCCCACAACACAAGTATACCTAGGTAACAAACCTGGACATGTACTCTTGAACTTAAAATAAAAGTTAAAAACAAGGGAATTTTAAATGGGGGAAAATAAGACAGTGTTGTACATATACACCATGAAACACTGTGCAGCCATAGAAAAGAATAAAATCATGTCCTTTGTAGAAACATGGATGCAGCTGGAGGCCATTATCCTAAGTAAATTAATGCAAGAGCAGAAAACCAAATAGCACATGTTCTCACTTGTAAGTGGGAGCTATATATTGAGTACACATGGACACAAAGAAGGAAACAATAGACACTGGGACCTACATGAGGGTGAAGAGTGGGAGGAGGGTGAGAATTGGAAAACTACCAGTGGAGTACTATGCTCATTACCTGGGTGATGAAATAATCTGTACCCCAAATCCCCAGGACATGCAATTTACCTAGGCAACAAACTATGCTCATTACCTGGGTGATGAAATAATCTGTACACCAAATCCCCGGGACATGCAATTTACCCATGTAACAAACTATGTTCACTACCTGGGTGATGAAATAATCTGTACACCAAATCCTAGGACATGCCATTTACCCATGTAACAAACATGCACATGTACCCCCGAACCTAAAATGAAAGTTGGAAAGAAAAAAAAATGATTTGCTCTATTCTTGCAAGTTTCTGTAAGTTAAAAATTATCATAAAATAAAAAGATTAAGAAGTATAAAATTAAAATGGCAAGTTGAATGTCATTACAGTCGATCTTAAAATGCAAAGCTTACTATTTATTCTTTTTATTTAATTTTTATTTTTATTTAAATGGCCTGGTACTGTTATTAATTTACTTCCTTAAAAACATTTTAAAATCTTTTTTAAAAGCTACTCTTAATTAATTATAAGACATTATATTTCTCATGTGGACTAATAATCGCTTGCTGAATGAAATAGAAGTATTTATTTTTATTCAACATCAAAATGTAAAGTTTGTAATTACAAAAAAACCCCAGCTTAAACAGAAAACCTTTCTAGAATAGTAGATATTTGTGGTTTGCTTGTTAGAGAATTTTTTAAGACAAATATATCAAAATTTTACACTTAAAGATCTTAAAATTATTGCCTTGCAAAATCTTCTATTTATTCTTTTTCTTTAATTTTTATTTTTATTTCAATAGTTTTGGGGATACAGGTGGTTTTCAGTTACATGGATAAGTTCCTTAGTGGTGACTTTTGAGATTTTGGTGCACCTGTCACCGGAACAGTGTACACTGTACACAAAAGATAGTCTTTTATCCTTCAACCTCTTCTTCCCTAGTCCCCAAAATCCATTATATCATTTTATAGCTTTGCATCCTTGTAGTTTAGCTCCCACTTATAAGTGAGAAAAATACTATTTACTTAAAAATAAAATTTCGTAAGTGATCTGTTTTGAAAATATTCTAAATAACTTTTAGTTAGAAAGAACACATGGCTTTTACATTTCTTTTAAACATTGATTTTTTTGTATAAGAAGGATTATTTATCTTTAATTATGAAAAAATGAGATATTTTCAAAATAAGGAATGCAAGTCTTCAATGAACAAATTAAATAACTTTATATGCTGAAGATTGAGACCAGATGCCTTTTATGACCTTAAATTACATGATTATGATCCTGTGTTTCCATATTTTGTGGGTAACAGACCCAATAATTTCCTGAATTTAATTTATATGTTATCCTATTAACATGGATAAAATCGCATTTTCAATTAGGTATTGCTCACTATATAATTCAGACTGTTTATACTGCTGTTTGATAAGGTATTGAAATGTGACTCAAAACATAAAAGGAAAAGACAATCCCAAATAAACAGAAAATGCCTTGTTTTTTCCTGATTTAGGATTTAATTATATACCCTCTATTTTATCACTGTCTTTCAAAAACCAAAAGCTGTATGTTATTGCGTACCCTACTCTAAAAGCTCATGGTGTGATTGTTGCTTTGTGTCCTTAATTTGCTTTTTCTTTTTCTTCATTGTTTTTCTAATTCAGTGTTTTGACTTTTCAAGTTCATAAATTGTTTTAGCCCTCCTACTGTGTAGCACTACGTGCCTTGAAGAAACTGAAAGTGTTTTGCATAGCATTGTTCTAAGGAATCACACTATAATGGCAACAAAAATTCAATAGCCAAATAAATGTAGATAGTATTATTTTATTTCTGAATGGATTTCAGAGACATTTTACAGGTTAAAATTTACTTCCAATATAAATGTCAACTAGAAATGTTATTGGAACAGATGATATGACAGAAGCAATATTTTTTTAAGTTATTTAAAAAATAAATCAGCCCCGATATGTTTATTTTTCATACTCTAAAAAACCTTCCATTATCTTTGTTATTGTTAGTTAAGATCAATAAAGCTGACAAAGATATTATATCTGTGAATAAGTCTTTTTTCTTGAAGGCTGATGCTATCGTTAAAGCAAACTTCACTTTTGTTTAAATTATCCAAATGTAACATTAGTATTTTCTTTCAGAAACACTTGTTAAAAAAAAAAGGAATAAACTGATTTTTATGGCTTTCCAGTTCACAAAGAACTCACACATACAATGCCTTTCACGCAACATTGAGCTTACTACTCGAAACAATGTGTCAACTCATAAAATATGCTACAAAATTTTATGCAGGAATTCAGTGTTCCCTTGAAGCATCCATTAGAGTTGTCGAATAGCAGTATAATAAATAAATAAATAAAAATCCTTTAGCCTATTTTCTTTAGCAACAAGCTAAATGTATACGTTAAAATAATAGTAGGCTATTAGAAGAGCAGTCTTGCTTTTTAACCCTGACACAAGATAAATCTCAGCAATTGAATAAATATTTACAGTTGTGAACAGATAGATTTATCATTCTTTGACCTTGTTTAAATAATTATTTAAACTTACTATTACCAACAAAACACAATAAGGCATTTGACACAGAATTGTCCTTACTAACTGAAGTGCATTATTGATTTCCTGAAGCTTTATTTTTAATTGTTTTTTAGAACACTGACAAATTTAGTAATGGGTAGGTATAAAGAAGTTAAAATAACAGTTAAATTTAAAAAGCCCATGTCTCTCCTCACTTGAGCAAGTGAAGAGAGACATATACTGAAAATGGGGGACAGGATCTTCCAAGGGAAATCCTTCCCAGCAAGTCACAAAGTCCAGGAAAGCTAACATTCAGAGTAAATAAGAGAATTCTTCAGGGGTAGAGGAGAGGGGGTGCAACAATAGTAGTATCTGGAAAATACCAGAAAATACCGAAGTTCTTTATTTGACACAAGGGTTTTCATTCAGAATTGCGGATTCCTTTATAAAGCTCTTGACTGAACTGAAGCTGACTGTATTAGTCTGTTCTCACGCTGCTAATAAAGACATACCTGAGGCTACATTATTTATAAAGGAAAGAGGTTTAATTGACTCACAGTTCCACATGGCTGAAGAGGCCTCACAGTCATGGCTGAAGGTGAATGAGGAGCAAAGTCATATCTTTTATGGCAGCAGGTAAGAGAGCGTGGGCAGGGGAACTCTCCTTTATAAAACCATCAGATCTCATGAGACTTACTATCATGAGAATAGCAAAGGCAAGACCCGCCGCCATTATTCAATTACCTCCATCCCAGTCTTTCACATGACACATAGGAATTATGGGAGCTAAAATTCAAGATGAGATTTGGGTGGAGACACAGCCAAACCAAATCACTGACCTGGGATTTTATCTTAGGTCTTAAAGGTGTCTATATCTTGGGGATGTTTATTTCCTAAAGATGTTTATCTCTAGAGGTCACTTATTAACAGCTATGAACAGTCTAAGGTTCATATAAAATCAGGCTGAGGACTATGTTAAGAGGTCACTCAACCACATCATGACTCCTCAGTCTATGAATATATGTAACATAGACTGCTTTAAGTTTGAAAAGACAAACTGGGAATTGGAAAGACTTCAGCTTCATATAGAGGCTAAACCAATACTAGTTCTGCCAGCTAGCAGAGTGGACACTGATAAGCTCAAGTTATAAAAGAGGTCAGTCCCTCCTGTCTGCCACAAATGAGATTCTCAGATGACCATGGCTTTTTCAGGATATGGTAAATGTATAATACATAGAGCATATTAAGTACAAAATTTTTTAAATCCTCAAATTTGACCCTTGTGACAGACAGCTCCCAGGTAGCTTAAGGTAAGTTCAGACAGGAGTCGTATGGCCCAAGCATAGCAGTTATCAAGTCAATTAAACAACACAAGGTGACCCACAGAACCAAACTGAAAGCATTAATTTGAATATCATAGGAACAGGTTAAGTTTGAGTAATCTAGACCATAAATGAAGTTTTCAGAAACTAGTTCAGGTTTTCTAAGGACAGTGTGGTCATGAATGTTCAACCAAAAGAGGACATGAATTACAGGAAATATTAGCAATAGGTAATAACCAAAACAGTGTTGTCATACATATGTATTTAGAGAGTTTTATAGATTTTGTTTTGGGGATCACTGGTCCTTCCCTCAGTGAGTGTCACTTGGCAATATACATTCCCACTGGAGAAGCCGTAAGCCAAGTAGAAATCCAGCTCTTCTAGACTAGGTCTCTCTACTAAGCTTCCTTACATTGTAAATTCATGGTATATCAGGGCCCAAATCCAATCCCTACTAAAGTTTATGAATGGCTGTTTTGTTCATTATGTTGTTGGACCATCAAAGATGTTACTTAGTTCTATATCAGTATGTTCACCATACTATATTATATTAAACACATCTGAAAATAAATGAGGGTCTATAAAGAGATTTTTTAATAAAAATTATCAGCAAGAAAATTTGTTTTATTATGTCAATGAACATATAAGATGTTTTATTCAAACAACTTTTCGAAGTTAAAACTTTCTAAAAATAACATATACAACACTGAGTAAATTAAAATATTTTGAAAGTATTCATATGAATTATTTGAATGCTACAATAATACAATTCAATACATTAAAAAATAATATTGGCATGTTTAATTCAGTTTCTTAGATTTCCTCTCTGATATTATACCACTAGTATGTTTCTAAAAATTTTATTTTTGTATAGATGTGTAATTTTAATTTTTTCATAACATTTGGCATCATAGTATTTAAAGCTGTATTTTATAATTAGCAAATTTACAATGTTTATATTTTTAATTGACTGTTCTTGTATGCCATAACATTCTTAAGAAAATATGGTAACTATAAATGTGGAAATATAAGCTTAGAGAAAATTCTGCTATATAGAGGATATTTGCAATTCTATTTCTGTAGTTAAATATATAAACACTTAAGCCCCAGTACTTTCATAGATTTTTGCCAGGATTCAAAAACTTTCTTAAAAATGTTTTTGCAACTAAAACTTGTCAAACAAATTGTGTATATTTACAACTATTTTGAAGGATTCTGGATTTAGATACTGCAAACTCCTGTGATCTCCTTCTAATGCAATACAGGGTATATAGGTGTACCCAAATGAAAATACATGGTTAATCAAAGGATTAATTCCACTGGTTAAGATGTTCCAAAGTAGCAATTTCAGAATTAACTCATGGACATTTGCACCTTCATTTTGTTTGCTTTTGCTTTTTTGTTACTTCCTACTTGCTTTAGTAGGAATCAGTACCACAAAGTGTATAAGCTCTGTTTACCATAATTTTTTATTTTATTTATAGCTTCAAGATATGAACTCCTTTGTGCTGAATTCCTTGAATGCTCTCATTAAAGATTTTCAAATAATTTTGAACAAAAGTCACCTAAAATTTAAGAATATGTTTATGTGTATACAAATAAGTTCAACAATCATTGTATGATACCTAAGATGATTTATAAAGTAGTTCTTTTAAAAATTCAAATATCATTACATTCTTATTGATAATAGGTAACAAAGATAGAAAATACTGTTATGCTGAATAATTTTAACTATTCAACCTCAATTTCATTACAAAAAACAAGTGTATTACATTAATCGTGTATATAAGCAGTTTCTAAATTTTGGTCACTTAACATTTGATTTTGAACAGTAGAATACTGCATCTTATTTTGACACAGTTATGAATTAGTTTTATGCTACAACCAATTCCAAGCATATTTCTGCTCCATAGATTTATATTGCCTATTATCCCCTTCTAATAACTAATATTACCTTTATTGCTGAATTTGTACTTAAATTTTATAAATTATTTATGATAACTTCAGATATTTCACCTTCAAGGAAATGAACTTTCAGGAATTTGACTTAGAATTCATCACTTAGAAAAAAAAAATTAAACTACTTATACGACAGGGAAGAACTTAACTGACTTTCTATTTGCAGATGTTTCATTTGATAATATCACTAATATACTGGTATCATTTAACTATTTGCAAAGTTGAATATGGAGCCATTAACAATGCTTGCTTCTGTTTTTATGTGCACAAGCAAACTTTTAGTAAAAAAAAAAAATAAGAGGCTGGAAAGGGAAGGATGAATGGGGGAGATGAAGAGAAGTTGCTTCAGTGGTACGAAAATACAATTAGATAGAAGGAATAAGTTTTAGTATTTGATAATACAGTAGGAAAATTATAGTTAACAATAACTTATTATATATTTATATATAGCTGGAATAGAAGAATTGTAACATTTCAAGATGAAGAATAAATGTTCAAGGTGATAGATATCCCAATTACTTTGACTTTGTTATTACACATTATAAACACATATCAAAATATTATGAGTAATTCATAAATATGTACAACTATGATATATCAAAAAAAATCCCACATCAGACCCAGAAAAATAATCTACGGTAAATGGTGTGTCACCTTTGAGTATCATTCGTTGTCATCTTCTCTCAAAAATCTATGAAAATTCAACACAAAATATATCATCCTTTCAGCAGATGATATAATTGATTTTCAAAATGATTCATCTATATTATAATTAAAACCTGAATATTTTTCCGTATTCTAGAATAAAAATAATTAGGTTGGTGGGATGCTCTGTGATCTCTAGTAATATTTGTTTAAGCTGGCTCTTACATGTAAAATTTCTCTCTGTTTATATTTTTCTAAATTTCTAAATAATGAGAAGTTCTCAGGGGATAAGGAGATGCTATTACAAGTAGAAAGATCAGCATATAATAAAGACTAAATAACAATAGGTAGAAAGTAAGATTGCAGTGTGTTAGCTCTTAAATATTTACCTAATGTTACTTTAAAGACTTTAATGCCTACCGCAGTACGTAGCACATCAAACCCTTGAGTAAACCTTATTCAGTAAGCGAATGAACTTTGAAAAAAATGAGTGAAATTAATTTAGAAGTATAAACATCTGATATAAGAAAAACTCATGATTCACAGAGGAGTATGTAATTGCACCTTCTGTATCTGCAGGTTAAATTAGGGCTTGCAAGAATACGTTTTTAAAATAACCATCAATTTTTAAAGTAGATGCTACTCCGTCTCACTTTCATCTGTCTTCTGTTTTGTGTTTTCAGTGATATTATAGCCCTCTTGGAGGATGATTATGTCAACAAAACTCTGTGCAAGATACTTTTTCTTTATTAAATTACTTGAGATATATGTTTAATATTTAATGCTTTATTAAATTTATACTTATTGTTAAAGTTGGGATTCTAAAAGGACTTATTATAAAAGATGTTTACCAACAATAGAGTAGATTATTGTAGATTTATATCATAAAACAAATAATAAAATAAACAGTAGAGGAATACAATTTATTCTGTTTTATACATACTCTATGGCAGGACTGCTTAGTTTCCATGTTTTCACACACATATTTCTTCTAAATTAAGGTATAATTTCCTATGTGTGTCTCTAATCCTGCTGATAGCTACCCTCACTTGCTTGTTTTATATTGGAGGCCAAAGCTTGTACCAGTGAGAGAGGGCAAAGGAAGAAACTGGTCAGTCAGACAGTTAGGGTGGGTCTTTGGTTTTACAGTGGGTCCTCAGTTAAATTCTTTCAAACAAAAGAACAGCCTGAAAAATAATGTTGTAGGCACAGATAAAGGACCTTGCCCAGGGGACTCGCCTAAGACATCCCCATGGCCATGTGGATAAGAAAGGCTACACAGGAGACTTGCCCAGACATGCCTGCAATGGAAAATTCTGTCCCCTGGCACATGTGTGGCACATGTGCAATAAGGGGAAACAAAGCAACATGGAGTAACTCAAGCTAAGGGCCCCTATGCACACTAGGATGGGGTGGAACTACCAGAAATGCATGCCTTATGCAAATGAGACACCCAGCCCCCTATTGGTTTCTTATAAAAGCCTCTGTATCCAAACTGTAAAAAGGCAACCCTTTTTTCTGGGACCCCTGTCTGTAGCAGAAAGATATTTTCTTTCTCTTACCTATTAAATTTCTGCTCTAAACCTCACCCTTTGGGTGTCCATGTCCTTAATCTCCGTGGCCATGAGACAACAAACCTCAGGTGTTACCCCACACAATGAGACCACTTCACCATATCACAGATGTCAAGTACTCCAAGAAACCCCTGCCACCCAAAAATGAAATAAATTTGACTTTTCTAGTTACCAGTAACTGAAAGACTCATCGTTGCTATTACTTTTTCAGATTTTGCCAATGGTTAGAATATTCTGATCACTACAGATTTGTCTTACACATTACCAAACAATAACAAGAAAGAAGTTAATGTGGAAGTGTATCATACTCATCCTAGGTTATCTTCATACAAATAATAATGTAATAATTATGACTACAATGATAATATACAACTAAAAATGAAAAAATCCAGGACATAGGAAAAATAGGCTATAAAAATCAGTGCAGAATCCTTAGACAATGTACTCCATGTGATGGCTACATTTAGGCCTCCATTGGTGAGTAGGGGGTAAGGAACATAATATGTACTTTCCTATCCCATGTAAGTTTAGAGCTTAGTGTCTTCTGATCTGCCCTCATCTAAAGAAAGAAGAATATCAAGACAATAGTCAGTGGTCAGTGCATAGGATTGAGTTGTAGCAGTAGGGCGGATCTCAGACCTGTAGGTTGAGTTGAATCTGAATGGAGGCAGACAAAACTGTTAACCCAAGGAAGGGAAAAGATGTTCTCCTCTAACTTCTGTGTCTCCATGAAGGGAGACTGGATGTGACTAAATACAAAAGTAAAAAGAAGGGTAATAGAATTTTGTAGCCTACCGCTTCACAGCTACTTTTGAGATAATTTTAGCAGAGTTCAGCTGAGGGTTTATTCATGATTTCATAAATGGTTGAGAAATAATCTTGGATAAATTGAACCTCATTTAAAAACAACTTTGAAGTGTAAGGAAAAATAATGCCCCCAACTCCAAATATGTCCATTTCTTAACCTCTAACATCATGCCAGTGAATATAATAATGGAAAAGGAAGTTAAAGCTAAAGATGAAATTACAGTTTCCAATGAACAGACCTCAAGATAGTGAGATCATTCTGGGTTATCTACGTAAACCCAATGTAGTCACATGGGCAATTAAAAGCAGAGAAAGAAGACAGAAACGTCAGTTAGAGAGATGTGATAATGGTATACGAGAGAGGAGACATTTGAAGCACGAGAGGGACTTGAAAATGGAGGAAAGGAGTTAAAACATGTAGACAACTTCTAGAAGCTGGGAATAACTCTCAGCTTACAGCCAGCAAGAACACCAGACCTTAGTCTCACAACTGCAGGAATTTAATTGTGTGAACAATCTAAGTGAGCAAGAAAAAATTTCCCCTCTAAAATCTACAGAAAGGAAGGCATCCTTGCCAACACCTTGATCATAGCCCAGTGAGACCTGTACAGGATTTGTGATATATAGAAATACAGAATAATAAATTAGTGGGTTTTTTCCAGGTGCTAAGTTTGTAGTAACTTATGAGAACAGCATTAGGAAACTAATTTTGATATTTTGATATTATAAATGAGGTGCTAGTTATCTAAAAATGTTTAAATAACTTAGGAATGTTTAAATGACTGGGAGGGGGTGGAAGCTGGAAAAACATTGAGGAGCATGTAGACAATGCTAGACTGACCTGAACACACAGCTTGTAGAAGTCTGCACTTGGAGAATGCTTCCAGTAAAGGCTCAGAAGAAAGGGATAAAATTATTACAGTAAGCTAGAGAACAGGGAATTCTTCTCACATAGAAGCAGAAATCTTATTGGAATTGTGCCCTGCATTTATGTGAAAAGCAGAAGGCACTAGGATACCTAGCTGAGGAGATTTCCAAAAAAGTGTTAAAGGTGCAGCTTGATTTGTTCTTGATTTGTTTATAGTAAAATGCAAAAGGAAGGAGATAAATTGAGAGAAGAACTAACTGTTAAGCAAAAAGGAAACAGGTCTTGATGACTAGGGATCTTTTTGGCCTGTCCTGATTGCAAAAGACACTAATATTAGGAGATCTACTTTGAGGAAAGTTGATTCTGGAAAGAAAGCCAATGGTGTGACCAGACAGCATTTTGCTTGATATGGTTTGGCTGTGTTCCCACCCAAATCTCATCTTGAATTGTAGCTCCCATAATCCCCATGTATTGTGGGAGAGACCTGGTGGGAGGTAATTGAACCATGGGGGTGGGTTTTTCCCATGCTGTTCTTGTGATAGTGAATAAGTCTCATGAGATCTGATGGTTTTATAAAGAGCAGTTCTGCACACACTCTCTTGCCTGCTGCTATGTGTGATGTGCCTTTGCTCTTCCTTTGTCTTCTGTCATTATTGTGAGGACTCCCCAGTCATGTGGAACTGTGACTCCATTAAACCTCTTTCTTTTATAAATTACACAGTCTCGGGTATGTCTTTATTAGCAGTAGAAGAACAGACTAATATAATAAATTGGTACCAGTAGACTGGGGTGCTGCCGTAAAGATACTCAAAAATGAGGAAGCAACTTTGGAACTGGGTAACAGGCAGAGGTTGGAACAGTTTGGAGGGCTCGGAAGAAGACAGAAAAACGTGGTAAAGTTCGGAACTTCCTAGAGACTCGTTGAATGTCTTTGACCAAAATGCTGACAGTGATATGGAAATAAAGTCCAGGCTGAGGTGGTCTCAGATTGAGATGAAGAACTTCTTGGAAATTGCAGTAAAGGTCACTCTTGCTATGCAAAGAGACTGACAGCATTTTGCCCCTGCCCTAGAGATTTGTGGAACTTTGAACTTCAGAGAGATGATTTAGGGTATCTGGCAGGAGAAATTTCAAAGTGGCAAAGCACTGAAGATGAAGCAGAGCATAAAAGTTTTGAAAATTTGCAGCCTGACTATGCAACAGAAAAGAAAAACCCATTTTCTGGGAAGAAATTCAAGCCAGCTGCAGAAATGTGCATAAGTAACGAGGAGATAAATGTTAATCACCATGACAATGGGGAAAATGTCTCCAGGGCATGTCAGAGACCTTCATGACAGCCCCTCCCATCACAGGCCCAGAGGCCCAGGAGGGAAAAGTGGTTTCCTGGGCCAGGTCCAGGGCCCCCCTGCTATGTGCAGCCTAGGGACTTGGTGTCCTGTGTTCCAGCTGCTCCAGCAGTGGCTAAAGGGGCCAAGGTACAGTTTTGGCCATGGCTTCATGGGGTGCAAGCCCCACACCTTGACAGCTTTCACATGGTGTTCAGCCTGTGGGTGACCATAAGCCAAGAACCGAGGTTTGGGAATCTCTGGCTAGATTTCATAGGATGTATGGAAATGTCTGGATGTGCAGGCAGAATTTTGCTACAGGGGCAGGGCCCTCATGGAGAATCTCTGTCAGGGCAGCGAGGAAGAGAAATGTGGGGTTAGAGTCCCCACACAGAGTCCCCACTGGGACACTGCCTAGTGGAGCTGTGAGAAGAGGGCCACTGTCTTCCAGAACCCAGAATGGTAGATTCACCGGCAGCCTGCACTGTGCACCTGGAAAAGCCACAGACACTCAATGCCAGCCCATGAAAGCAGCCAAGAGGGTGCTTTATTCTGCAAAGCCACAGGGGCGGAGCTGCCCAAGGCTGTGGGAGCCAACCTCTTGCATCAGCATGACCTGGATGTGAGACATGGAGTCAAAAAAGATCCTTTCGGAACTTTAAGTTTTAATGACTGCCCTATTGGATTTCAAACTTCTGTGTCCCCCCTCCCCCTTCATTTTCACCAATTTCTCTCATTTGGAACCAGTATATTTGCCCAATGTCTGTACCCCCATTGTATCTAGAAAGTAACTAACTCGCTTTTGACTTTACAGGCTCATAGGTGGAAGGGGCTTGTCTCAGATGAGACTTTGGACTTGGATTTTTGAGTTCATGCTGGAATGAGTTAAGGCTTTGGGGGACTGTTGGGAAGGCACAATCGATTTTGAAATGTGAGGATACAAGATTTGGGAGGGGGGAGGGGCAGAATGATATGGCTCAGCTGTGTACCCAAATCTCATCTTGAACTGTAGCTCCCATAATCCCCACATGTCATGGGAGGGCCCCAGTGGGAGGTAATTGAACCATGGGGTGGGTTTTTCCTATACTGTTTTCACAGTGAATAAGTCTCGTGAGATCTGATGATTTTACAAAGAGCAGTTCTTTTGCACAGGCTCTCTTGCCTACTGCAGTGTAAAACGTGTCTTTCCTCCTCCTTCACCTTCTGCCATGATTGTCAGGCCTCTGCAACCATATGAAACTGTGAGTCAATTAAACCTCTTTCCTTTAAAAATTACACAGTCTCAGGTATGTCTTTATTAGCAGCATGAAAACAGACTAACATACTGTTAATACCTTCATCAGTAAAATACAAGGTCACAATGTTTTGTTGTTATTACTCATGTATACTAAATTAATTCTTTTTATTGATACATAATAGTTGTAATATTTGGGGTACATGTGATACATGCATACATTGTCTAATGATCAAACCAGAATAATTGGAATATTCATGACTTCAAAGATTTATTTTTTCTTTATGTTGGGAACATTCCAGTTTTTCTCTGTTAGCTACTTTGAACTGCACAATAAATTATTGTTAACTATGGTTAAACTACTGTACTATCAAACTCAAGATCATATTCCTTCTAACTTCACTTGATACCCATTAACCAATTTCTTTTCATCGCCTTTTCACACACCCCCCTCAGTCACTGTTAACTATTATTCTACTCCCTATCTCCGTAAGACCCACTTTTGTAGCTCCCACATATGAGTGGGAACATGCAGTATTTGCTTTCCTGTGCATGGCTTATTTCACTTAACATAATGACCTCCAGGTTCATCCACAATGCTGTAAATGTCAGGATTTTATTCTTTATTGTGGCTGAATATATTTTTAGATTTTTTGAGGAACTTCAATACTTTTTTTCATAGTGATTGTACTAATTCACAATCACACTAAGAGTGTACAAGTATTTCCCTTTCTCTACATCTTCACCAGCCTCCGTTACTTTTTTATCTTTTTGATAAAAGCCATTTGAACAGAAGCAATGTAATATCTCATTGTGGTTTAATTTATACTTCTCTGATGATGATTAGTGACACTGAGCATTTTCCACATACCTATTGGCCCTTTGCATTCTTCTTTTGAGAAATGTCTATTCAAATTATTTGCCCATTGTTTAAGCAAATTTATTTAATTGTTTTTGCTATTGAGTTGTTTGCAGTCCTCATATATTCTGGTTATTAGCCCCTTGTCAGATGAGTAGTTTGCAATGTTTTTTCTACCATTCTGTAGGTTGTCTCTTTACTTTGTTGATTGTGTCCTTTGCTTTGCAGAAACTTTTCAGCATGATATAATCCCATTTGTCTTCTTTTGTTTTTGTTGCCTGTGCTTTTCAGGTCTTGCTCAAAAATCTTTGCTCAGATCAGTATCCCAAAGTGCTTCCTGAAGGTTTACTTTTAGTAGTTTCACAGTTTTTGGTCTTCAATTTAAGTTTTTCATCCAATTTGATTTGGTTTTGTATATGATGAGAAATAATGCCCTAACTTCATTCTTCTGCATGTTTATCCAGTTTTCCCAGCACAATTTAGTGAAGATATTACCTTTTCACAATGTATGCTCTTGGCAATTTGGTTAAAAATGAATTGGCTGGGCCAGGCATAGTGGCTCACACCTGTAATCCCAGCACTTTGGGAGGCCGAGGTGGGCAGATCACCTGAGGTTGGGAGTTTGAGACCAGCCTGACCAACATGGAGAAACCCTGTCTCTACTAAAAATACAAAATTAGCAGGGTGTGGTGGTGCATGCCTGTAATCCCAGCTACTTGGGAGGCTGAGGCAGGATAATGGCTTGAACCAGGGTGGCGGAGTTTGCAGTGAGCCGAGATCTGGCCATTGCACTCCAGCCTGGGCAACAAGGGTGAAACTCCATCCCAAAAAAAAAAAAAAAAAAAAGAATTGGCTGTAAATCTACGCATTTATTTCTGGGTTCTCTTTTCTGGTCTATTGATCCATGTTCTCTTTATATTATAGTACTGTGCTGTTTTTATTGCTATGGCTTTGTGGTATATTTTGAAATCAAGTAGTGTGATAACTCCAGCTTTATTCTTTTGGCTCAGGATGATTTTGGCTATTTGGAGACTCGTGGTTCTATATTAATTTTATGATTTTTTTCTATTTCTATAAGGAATATCATTGGTATTTTTATAATAATTGCATAATTGCCCTAAATCTGTAGATCACTGACCTTTTAAAAATATTAATTCTTCCAGTCCATGAGCATTTCCCTTTTTTGTGTGCCCCATTTAATTTTTTAATCAGTGTTTTATAGTTTTCCTTGTATAGCACTTTCACTTCTTCGGTTAAATTAATTCCTAGATATTTTATATATTGTGTCTGTTATAAATTGGATTAGTTCGTTGAGTTTTTTCATTCATTTGCTGTTGGCATCTATAAATGACAATTTTTGTATATTGGTTCTGTATCCTGCAATGTTACTAAATTCACTTTTCAATTCTAAAAGTTTTTTGTTGATGTCTTTAGGTTGTTGTAAATATAATATCATTTTACCTGTGAACAAGATCAATTTGACTTCTTCCTTCCCAATTTGGATTCCCTTTTTTTTTTCTCTTGCCTAATTGCTCTGGTCAGGATGTCTAGTACTATGTTGAAAAAAACTAATGAAAGTGGGCATCCATGTCTTGTTTTAGATCTTGGAGAAAAGGTATTTAATTTTCTCCCATTCAGTATGATGTTATCTGTGACACTGTCATATATGGTCTTTTTATTTATTTATTTATTTATTTATTTATTTATTTATTTATTTATTTATTTGAGACAGCATCTTACCCAGTCACTCAGATTAGAGTGCAGTGGCATAATTGTGGCTCACTGCAGCCACGATCTCCCAGGTACAGGTGATCCTCCCCAGGCTGGTCTCAAACTCCTGGGCTCGAGTGATCCACCCACCTCTGCCTCCCAAAGTGCTGAGATTACAGGTCTGAGCCACCACACCCGGCTCACATATGGTCTTCATTGTTTTGAGGTATATATTGAGTTTGTTGAGCGTTTTTATCATAAAGTGATGTTGAATTTTGTTGAATGTTTTTTCAGCACCTATTAAAATGACTGGATGGTTTTTACACTTTATTCTGTTGACGTGATGTATCTCTTTATTTATTTGTGTATGTGCAGCCAACTTTGCATCCCTAGAATGAATACCACTTCATCATGGTAAGTAATCTTTTAAATTTGTTATTTTGTTAAGGATTTTTCCATTTATGTTCATCAGGAATATTGTCCTGTAGTTTCATGTTTTTGTTGTTGGATCCATGTCTGATTCTGGTATCAAGAGTAATGTTGGCCTTATAAAATGAGCTTGGAAGTATTCACACCTCTTCAATTTTTTGGAAAATTTAGTAGAATTGGTATTAGCACTTCATTAAATAGTTGGTAGAATTCACCTGTGAAACTGTCAGGTCCTGGGTTTTCCTTTGTTGGGAGACATTTGATTACTGCTTTGATGTTGATACTTGTTACTGCTCTGTTCAGGTTTTTTATTTCTTCATGGTTCAATCTTGATATGTTGCATGTGTCTAGGAATTCATTCACTCCTTCTAGGTTTTCCAATTTCTTGGCATATGGTTGTTCATAAAGTTGCTAAAGATTCTTTGTATTTCTGTGGTATCAGTTGTTATGTCTCCTTTTTCATTTCTGTTTTCACATAGCTTGTCTTTGAGCTTACTGATTTTTTTCTTCTGCTTCATCCATTCCTCTTTTGAGAGACTCTAATGCATTTTTAGTTCAGCAGATATATTTCTCAGTTCCAAGATTTCTGCTGGATTTATTAAATTATTATTTCAATCTCTTTGTTGAATTTCTCTAATACATTTCTGAATTACTTTTTTGTTATCTTTTAGTTTGCTTGGTTTCTTTAGAACTGCTATTTTGAATTTTTGATCTAAGACCTTGCACATCACTATCTATCTCATTAGGGTTGGTCTTACTGTTTTTGTCTGTTTGGGGAGTTCATGGTTCCCTTGCTTCCTGTTGTTTCTTGTGAATATATGTCGATGGTTTCACAATGAAGTATTAGTTAAATTTTTTCCAGTCTTCACTGTCTTGCTTGTTTTAGTCTTTCTAGGGTATGTTTGCTTACAGGTTCTTTGTAATTGCCTCTGATTCTCCATAATCCTAAGCCGCTACCTCCTAAATGGCACCATAAACCCAGGTTTGCCTCTACTCTCACAAATGTTAAAGCACCACCTGTCTGAGATTGGTAGGTGGGGGGATACCAGAAGGAATATGTGTGGGAAGACTGGCTATGCATTCATGCCCAGAAGACCCATGGAGTGTGGCTGCTACAGCACGGTGCTGCTGAATAGCCATTCTGATTTGAATCCTCCTTTAGCTGAGATAAAGAGCAGAGTTTCAAAAACTTGGGTTTCCATTCCTGGTTCCTCTCTGTCTCCAGTTGTCTTCAGGGGATTTTTCCCCTACAGGTTGAATTACCATTCGATCCAGCAATTCCATTATTGAGTATATACCCAAAGGAATATAAATCCTTCTACCATAAAGACATTTGTACACGTAGGTTTATCACAGCAGTATTCACAATAACAAAGACATAGAATCAACCTAAATTCCCATCCACAGAAGACTAGATGAAGAAAATATGGTACATATACACCATGCAATACCACAGAGCCATAAAAAAGAATGAGATCATTTCCTTTGCAGCAACATGGATGAAGCTGGAGGCCATTTTCCTAATTGAACTAACACAGGAACAAACAACCAAATACAACATGTTCTCACCTAAAAGTGGGAGCTAAACATTGAGAACAAATAGACACAAAGAAGGGAACAACAGTCACCAGGGCCTACTTGAGGATAGAGGTAGGAGGAGGAAGGTGATCAAAAAACTGCCTGTGGTATCCGACACTTATTACCTGGGTGATGAAATAATCTGTACATGAAACCTCCATAATATGCAATTTAACTATATAACAAACCTGCACATGTATCCCTGAACCTCAACCAAAAATTTAAAAAAGCAAAAGTTAAAAAAAAAAAAAAAAGAAATTGTGAGTCCTAAAGCAATGATCAATATGCAATGCTGGCAGATTGGGAGAGGGGCCTCAAGGATGGAGAATTCCTTTTCTCTTTTCATCTGGTTGGAGTTTTTCCATTTTCTATGGCCCAGAAATCCTCTCATCCTCATATTTGAGCTCTGGAATACTGCTAGGGATGATCTTAGTGTTGAAGATCATTTTGGTTTTCTTTGAAGTACAGTGAAGCCAGATTGTATCTACTCTGCAATTTTGGTGACATCACTCCCCAAAGTCACAGTATTTTTACACAAAAGGCCCTTTTATGAGATTCTGGGTGTGACTCACAGAACTGTCCAATCAAAGTAGACAGTATCTAGGAAGCTCAAGAATACTGTCCCTCAGCCACCTCAGCAAAAGTTAAATATAAATTTGAGATTTTCTAGGAAAGATCAATGACAAGTCCAGAGAGTGGAGCTTTGAGCCCCAAGGTCAGAGGCAAAAAACACATAGGATAATTACAAGGCCTTGAAAGCTGATGGAGTTTGCCTAGATACATTTTAAATTTTGGGAATCCTTTCTCTTTTGTTTTCTCTGGTTTTAAAGCAGAATGTCTGTAACTATTACTTATGCTTTTTCTGTCATTGCATTTTGGGATAAGGTAACATGATTCTTTAATTATGCAAGTCCAGGGATGGAGAAGGATTGTTTCCCAAGTCAGATTACTCCTAGAGCCTCACCCATAGGTGATTTACATAAATTAAATTATGAGACGTGGGACTATTGAGCTGATGAGATTTCAATGAAATTTTGGACTTTGAGTTGATGCTGTAATAATGAGACTTTTGAGGAACTTAGGATGACATAAATCTATTTTGTAGATGTGCTCTACATGAATCTTCAAGGGACAGAATGTGGACTCTTTTATGCTAGTCTTCCACCAGGATACTTAAACTAAAAAAGAATGACTGTTTTAAATATTAATTGCCCTGATGAACAATGACATGGAGCATCTTTTCATGTTTATTGTCCAGTTGAATTCCCTGGTTTGTGAAGTACCTGTTCAAGTCTCTTGACCATTTTTACACAGTGCTATATGACTTTTTAACTGACTTGCAAGAATCTTCACATATTTTAAATACAAGTCCCTTATTTTAATGTGTGTTGCAAATATCTTTGTCCACCGTGTGACTTACTTTTTCATATTATTCGGAATACTAGAAATTTTTAATTTTAATATAGTTTAAATTATTCATACATTTTGTGTCATATATAAAAAAATCTTTCCTACTCCCAAATAATAGATACCTTTGAATATTTTTCACCTAGAAAACTTGTTTGCCCTTCACATTTAGATCGACACTTCACCTAATATTGATTTTTGTGAATGGTGTGATGTAGGTATGAGGTTTATTACGTTTTGTATATAGGCTTTCAAGTAAGCCACTGTCATTTATTTTAAAAACAAACAGAAAAGACATATATCACTCTCCTCATGCTCTGCATAAACCACTGTCATATAGCAAGTGTCCAAAAGTTTCCTGCCTCTCTATACTATTCCACTGGTGTATTTTTTGTCCTTGAACCAAGAACACACTGTATCAATTGCTGAGGTTTTACAATAAGTCTTGGGATCCTGTGGAATTAATCCTTCCGATTTCATTTTTCACCTACATTGTTTTTTGTTAGGCTTCATCACTCGAATTTTCATATAAAGTGAAGAATTAGCTTTTCAGTTTTCACTAAAAAGGGTCTTTGTAAATTTAATTAGGATTTCATGGAAAGTATACATGAAATTATAAAAAAAAAAATTTGACATTTTTACAATATTGGTCCTTCCAAACCATGAACATGATATCCTTAAAAAATTACATTGTTTAATCCTTAATAGTTTTCCATACTTGTCTAACACATTTTTGAAAAAACTTATTCATACTTGACATTGTTATGAGACCTGCCTCAAAACAACCCCACTGTATTCACAATATTTATGTATGCTATTATAAATGGTAGCTTTAAAAAGCACTGAAATGTTTATATTAACCTTACATTATGCAATGTCGCTTAAAGCTTTTAAAATAAATATCTGCCCTCTGTTCTCTAAGAAATGAGTACCAAGGCACCAACTCAAGCTTGGATTCTAAGAAATACTTAGCTAGTTTTATGCCTAGCCACTAGAAGTTCCTAAGATCACAACTTTAAAGCAGACAATGAAAGACATGTAATTATCTAAGAATTACCAGCTAGATCATTTGGCGCTGCTCTAGCCTTACACAAATTACCTGTACTTAGAATAAAATCCAAAATCTATAATGTCCTACAAAGCATTGCACAATCCAATTATTGCCCAACTCTTCACCTTCATCTCTATTTTCTCCTTTACTTGCTGTGATCTAGACACATTACCAATTTGTAGCATTTCCAACAAGTTTGTTCCTTCCAGAGTTTTCTCATGTGTTATTTTGTATGCCTAGATTTCTCCCCTTTTTTTTACTTCTTACTTGTGGCAAATTTGTATTACTTACAATTGGCTTTGCCTAAATATGGATTTTATGCTGAAGATTTTTCTGCCCTTTTAGATTTGATAATTTCCACAACATTATAATCTTAGTTCTATTGTTTTCCTTTATAGCACAAAGTATAATGGACATTAAAGTATTAGGTTTGTAATAATGATTAATGGTTGCTAAAGTGCCATGAAAGATAATGATTGTGCCCTATTCATCGATGTTTGTCTTCTTGACTTATACTGTATCTGATACATTATGAGAATCAATAAATAGATGTCGATAGAATGAAAATAATAATAGATCATGAATGAATGAATGAATAAATGAGCAAAACAACAACAGACAGTAAGGAACAAAACTGCAATGGAAATTCAGGAAGAATGATCATGTGAGGCATCAAAGTAAAGAATCAGAGCCAATTTATAATTCAATAAGAAGGTAATGGGAGGGTCATTAAAGAATGTGAGTCTAATTTGCAAATATTTTCTCATACCCTGAGACAGAGCCACAAATATTTTCGGTAAGATTCCTGCACTGCTAGTGGTAATAGGGAAAGTAATTAAAAGCCACCTATAGGGTAAAAGAAGCATTAAAAAAATGATCCATGAAAGGATGAAAAGAAAGTGAAAAAAAAATTCTAAAGAGAGAGATTTCCTCAAATTCATGAATTTCCACACACTTGATGAAGTTAATCGTTGTGTCTTTCAGTCAAGTAAAATTATACTGTACTCTTTCAAAGAAGAAAAATATAATATACAGCTAAAAATACTGCCAAAATGTTCCTTGTTGTTAAGTTGCTAGGTCTGTATAATTCTTTGGAGTTAGTAGTATTGGATCCATGCTTAAATTTATTGTCATCAGCAAATGTAATTAATGTGCTTTTTACCAGGGCCTCTAGACCTTAATGGAAATGTGTTGAACTTTTAATGTCATGATAGATCAAAAAGTCTGTTTTGGAAAATTATTGTCCATCAAATGTATGGTTTTTCCACATAAAGAGTATCAGTCAATTGTTTTTATTCAGAATAAAAATACAAATTCAAGTACAGTGATATACCTGGGCTTTTGTCTGTCTTTTAGTAGATTGTTGGGAGAGTAAGTACTGTGGTAATGAGAGTTATAGGCTTTATAAGGTAGAACTGAGAAAGCAGAGAAACAATATGTAAATGTTGAATCTTTAAAAACATTTTAATGAGTAAGCAATAGAAATATTTTGGCCTTTATAGTTTGTTTTCTCATCATAATTTTACTGAAATATACAAAAACATAATTCAAGCTTATTCTGATGAAATAATAATGAATGTGTTTCAGATGATTCTTATTTCACCTAGACAAAATTCTGGCATTTATATTATGACATAAATCTGGCAAGTTAAAAATACAAAATACTAAATGACAAGTAGTTTTTTTGTATCTTAAAGTCAAGGTATTTGTATTTATTTAATAGGAAAATGTTATTGACATCTATTCACAGATTAACCTTAATTTATACTAAAATATGTTTTGAGTGAGATTGAGAGAGTTGTCACCTAGTCCAAGCTTAGGAAAACTGTGAGCTGCTTAGAGGTGAAATCTTCAATGCCCCTTAATTTCTTCACTTAATTACAAAAATATAAAAATTAAAACCATATGCTTTCAAGCATAATTATGTGGATTTCACCTCTTTCATCTGGATAGTTCAGCCTTGAAACATCTTTCAAAATTAAAATATATAATAATTTTATTACAGAATTGTGAGTTTTTTATTAGGGATATTTATGCAATAGGCACACTGTTTTTACAATGGTCTCTGATCTATTAAATCCAAACAGATATATGTATTAGTTTATATATTGTATTTTAGAATTTACTTTATCAAAAATATCCTTTCTTTTCATTAATATGCAAGTTTTACTTGCCAAAAATATTCTTTTCTTCTGTCTTTCTGTATCTCTCTCTCTCTCTCTACACACACACACACACACACACACACACACACACACACTCCTATTGTTGCAGAACAACTTATCCCAAACTTTAGCATCTTACAACAACAAATACAGTTTATTTTAGATTCAGTGGGTACATGTGCAGGTTTGTTACATGGGTGCATTGCATAATGCTAGGGTTTGGGCTTCTACTGAATCTGTTACCCAAATAGTGAACATAGTACCCAACAGGTAGGTTTTCAACCGTTACTCCAGTTCTTTCCCCATTTCGGAGTCCTCATCATCTATTGTTTCCATCTTTATGTCCATGTATACCCAATGTTTAGCTCCCACTTATAAGTGAGAACAGGCAATATTTGCTTTTCTGTTCCTGTGTTAATTTGCTTAGGATTATGCTCTATAGCTGTAACTATGTTGCTGCAAAGGATGTGGTTTCATTCTTTTTTATGGTTGCATAGTATTCCATGCGTTATATGTGCACCTTTTTTATCCAATCCACTGTTGATGGGCACCTAGGTTGATTCCATGACTTTGCTATGGTGAATAATGAAAACAACAAATATTTATTATTTCACACAATTTCTGAAGGTCATAAAACCAGAATTTGCTTAGTTAGGTGTTTCTGGCTCAGTGTCCCTTATGAAGTTTAGTCAAGTTCTGGCCAGGCTGTAGCTACCTCAAGACTCAAAGGAAGCTGAAGAATTAACTTCCAAACTCATGTATGTGGTTGCTGGCAGGCCTCAGGTTCCCTCTGGCAGCCTCAGCTTCTTGCCACATGGCCTCTCCGTAGGGCTCATTATAAATGGCAGTCTGCTTTCCAGGGCAAGTGATGAGAGAGAGAGAGAGGGAGAGAGAGAGAGAATGAACCCAAGATGCAAGCTGTGTTTTTTTAATAAGTTAAATTCAGAAGTGACACGCAAACACTTCTAAAATTTAGAACAGTTACTAAGTGAGTCCACCCTCAAAAAGAGGGGAATTAAGCTCCCTCTCTTGAGGAGAGGAATGACAACACTGTGGATTTGCTTTTTAAAACTGCCACAATATACAATGGAAAG